>NC_000003.12:171281331-171432846 GCF_000001405.40 Homo sapiens
CATATGAGACCACAATTTTTCAACTAGAAGTTTCCTCAGGGTAGCACAGTATATAAGAACTTTGTTTTCAAGACAGAGGTTAGTTCAATTCTGGTGCTGCTATTTATCAGCTGTGAAATCATGAGCAAGCTATTTATCTTATTTAAGTCTCAGTTTCTTAATCTACAAATGGGGATAGTAATAGAATCTACCACATAGGACTTTTGTGAGGATTAAATAAAGGAATACACTGTACATACAGTGCTTACAGGTGCTTCTTCCACAAGGAATGGGCAGTACACTTTAAGTATTATTTATATTTCTGATATCCCAACAGTTAACACTAAACCGTACCAAGTATACATTATTTTGCTCTCTCTCACACAAATATACACATATATAAACAAGTCACACAGTCCCAACCCTGAAGGTCAACGAGGATAGTGTTTGCTACCCTTGTAGAGTACAATCTTTAAACTGTGATGACAAGACAATAAATTTTCCCAACCATTTGAATGAGCTTTGGAAGTGGATTTTTTACTTGAGCTTCCAGAAAAAAAGCCCAGTCTGGCTGATGCCTTGAGTTAGCCTTATGAGCATTGAAGCAGAGAACCCAGTTGAGCCTGACTGAATTAGTAACTATAGAAATGTACACTAAGAAATGAAGGTTGATTTTGGCCAAAAAATAATAATAATAATGGTAACTGTGATAATGTGAACTGGCATCCTCTCCCCCACTTACAGCAGACTTGAGGTTAATCTAGAGAATGAATTTTGGGCTAGAAGAAATCATCCAGTCCACAATCAGTGTCTTCAATTCTAGAATCAATTGAAATATTTGCTTATCATCAAAATAACATTTTCTTCAAGGCATTAGTCCAAGATCTGTATCCCAGCGAATCACAAAGAGGAGAAAGAAGAGCCAGCACAGAGTATTTATAGGTCACTGACTTGGTGCACAGCCAGAAGATTTTTTTTAACCAACATTTCTGCCAAAGGAACTATCTGCAGATTCTCTTAATGGTTTTTTGTTTTTTTTTTTTTTTTTGAGATGGAGTTTCGCTCTTGTTGCCCAGGCTGGAGTACAATGGCGCGATCTCAGCTCACTGCAACCTCCAACTCCTGGGTTCAAGCACTTCTCCTGCCTCAGCCTCCTGAGTAGCTGCAATTATGGGTGCCTGACACCACGCCCAGCTAATTTTTTTGTATTTTTAGTAAAGACGGGGTTTCGCCATGTTGGCCAGGCTGGTCCCGAACTCCTGGCCTTAGGTGATCCACCTGCCTCGGCCTCCCAAAGTGCTGGGATTACAGGCATGAGCCACCACGCCCGGCCTCTTAATCGTATCTTAAAGCATTTTAAAAATAACAAATGAAACTGAAAAAGATAAATCGAGGTATCTAAGCAGTTACACTGAACTCATTTCTGAAGCTCATGGACAAACTATGTAAAATCTCAAGAGACTGAAAACTATTTTCTATTCTCAAGATTCAAAGTAAAAACTTAGAATACAAAACTCTAAGAAAGAGAAGGCAGAATGGTGGCAGCTCCAGAGGGTGGGCAGAATCCTAATCTTACAACAGACCTGGGCAATTGCTGCTGTTAATTCTACCAGCAGAATGATGTAGGAGGGCTCCTTACAGCCTGGGCCCGCCTTATATTCTCTGCACAATCAGAGTGGAACCTGGGCACCTATTAGTCCCTTTCCATGCTATCTTCCTGTGAAGATTCTTATGAATAAGAAAACGTGACCTTTATCAAGGAATAATTTTATTCAAATTGTGTAAACTGGATATTTTCCACAGTTTCTTGTCAGGAGGTGGGCAGAGAAGTTAAATTTTATACCTACTTTAAAAAAAAAAAAAAGCCCCTCATGTAATGTTAGCAACTGACCAAATACTCCTTGGATTTCGTGTCTGGAGAGAAGGAACTAAGAAAACATACAGTTCTCTGAAATGTTTCCTGGATTCTTTCCTCTTTTTCCACAAAAATAGAACTACTCTTTTTCTTTTTTCTTTTTTCTCTTTTGATGGGGGATGAGGATTATACAGAAGATTTGGCAACCTAAATGAACATGAGAGAAAGCCAATAGTATAACTAAAGGAAGGGGATCGCCAAAACCATTCACTTAGGGGAATTTCAAACTTTGGTGCTAAAGCTTCCAAATAATCAGCATCACCATTCACCAAGGAGCAGAGGAGTTCGGTCTTGCTGACTGCCAGTTAAGGGCTCTGAAAAAAGACAGTCTCCTTGGCAGCCGTTCCAACCTGGCTCCTGCCCCCTGTGAACCAAGGAAAAGTGGAAATCTAATTCCATGTAGCCTGGAAGAAACCTTACAGGTCCAGGGCTGTGGAGAGGTCGGGTGAGGAACAGGAGTTCCCACCATGCCACTAGGGTTCTGGAAGCCCTGGGAAGCTGCCAGTGGCACTGCAGCACCAGGAACTGGTTCCTAGAGAACTGCCTCAAATCAGACACACATAAGGAAGTCAGGCAGTGATGGCGCTGCATGGGAATACAAGCAGAACAATCTCCTCAGAACTACTTCGAGGGTACTGTCTCTCAGCCATCTTCCAGGTTTTCCACAACCCACAAAGGTCTTTCAGGTGGGTATAATTTGGGGTTACTTGTTAAGATGGAGTTACAGCACAGCTTCATTGGCAAAGACAATGGGATCTCATATCTAGAAACAAAACTTTCTGGGTTTCACCATTTGCCCGTTATCCCCTGAGAAACATCAGCATCACCTGTTAACTTGCTTGGGAATGCAAATTCTCAGACCCAACCGAGACCTATGAATCTGAAACTCTGGAGGGGGGCGGCAGGGAGGAGGGCAGGAATTTGTGTCTTAGCCCCTCATTGTTAAGATTCTGATGCACACTAAAATTTGAGAACCATTGAGCATTCTAGAGCAACACAATTTCATGAAAAAATAGCTTTGGAAACAGCATCTGGATATTAGGCAAAAATATGTGCCTGAATAGAAGAAACACACTCCGTTCATAGTAGGGTTCTATTCCCCAATTTTTTAATTTAGTAGTTCTTTGTGAAAAATGTCCTCTCACATGCAGCATTTTAAAATGAGAAATCTGGGGCCTTCTCAACCAACTTCACACCCGCTTTCCAGGGCAGCTCAAAACAAATTACTGATAAATCAACATGGGGCACTCTGAATCATCAGTCCGTCTTTAGAACTCCCCACATGGTCAGCTGAGGCATTCCATTGAGAATGCATCATGTCTTGACTTCTCTCTCTGGCCAATCCTGCCGTCATTGCATTTCTTAATAAACCTCCTGCATGCTAAAAAAAAAATAAAAAATAAAATCAAATGAGCAATTTATTGCAAATAGCCAGTCCCAAAGAAATCCTTTTGCCTTTGTTGTTTCCCTCAAAATTGCACATTATTTAAGGGGCCTGTCTTTTACACATTTTTATTAGCACCTAGAGCAATACAAATCCTCCACAAACTCTAGCAAATATGTATTAATACAGTAATAAGTAATTCTAAGAGCAAGCACTCAAATTAGTAAGGTCTGGTTTCCTGTAGATTACTAAAGCAGGGAAGGAGTAAGGGGGAGAACTCAGAGAAAGCGTGCGCTGACTAAAAGACAGAAAGGAAGCAGAAAATTTATTCTGAGCAGATGCCAAGACTTTGCCACATGCTTACAGTAAGAGAAATGGAGAGCAGAGAAAATTATTTTTAAAACCTTCTTTCCTTGAGAACTAAGTTATCATAGCCCTGCTTTAAGATATTAGGTAAATACTTTTTCAATGCAAGACATAGGTGGACCCAGAATATTAGCAAGAAATGTGCCTTAAATTATTTAAAGGATACAGACTATTTATTTTCCATGGACAGGAATCATCTGTCTTCATTCATAAAATTCAAGCTGATAATTTTTTGATAAAACTGTTTTCTTTATAAATTGTTAATAAATAAATAAATTGTTGATAATGTATCATTTCTACCCAAGACTGGAACAAACACATCAGCCACTTAAATTCCTCAGCAATACTTAGGCTGCTGAATTTGTTATCAGTGGTAATATATGTTAGCTTGCCTGACTTTAACTGCATCTCCTCAAAGAAAAACGTAGATGAGAAAGTAAAAGTGTAGAGGTGGTGTGGTAGAGTGGAAACTGATGAGCTTTTCCGAAGTAGAGCTGGATCCTAATGCCAGCAGCTATATTGTTATGACTAAGTTAATTGACACTCAGGACTGTTTTCTCACCTATACAGTGAAGGCTGTGGCACAGTTTAAATGTGTTCATGTGTGTACAGTGCCTGTAAGATGATAAACACCAAATCAGTATTATTATTATTAAGAGGCACCCATTTTCATTTTAAATCAATTTATTAGATGTTAATAAAATTAACCCCTATTCCTCCATTCTGCCTTCCATTATTTGGCAGATAAGAAAGCTCTGGCCCAATTGTTCTCAACTCTGGCTGTATATTACAATCACTTGAAAGTTCTTGTGTGTTTTTTTAACTGCCATCTCGCCACAGAACAACTGGATCAGTGTCTGGGGCAGGCCCCAGGCCTTGGTGATTCTGATGTAGTCGGAGAGTTGAGAAATACTATTCCAAATGGATTCTTTACCAAAATCACTTCGGGGCAAATTGGCTATTCTGGAATTTGATCATTTGATGGTTTGGCCTGCTCATCCTGAAGGATCAGGAGGATACAGCCTTATCCTATCTTAGCATTCTTGGGAGATGTCTAGTACACCCTATGGCAAAATAAATACTATTCCATATTTCCTGGTTAGCCTTTGCTGGGGAGAGAGGGGAGAGGGGTATATGTCTGATGATGAGCCATTGAAGGAGAACATCTGAATTAACTAAAGATGGTGGAAGAGACAAAAGATTAGGTTAGCTATTATACTTTAAAAACTTCTCCTTCTCCTCCTTCTTCATCCACCACTGTAACAGATATCTGAGGAGTCCCTACTATAGTACTTAGAAAACTAACTGAAAATAGGACAATTCATGAATGCCCTGACTCGTTACATGGAAATTCAATAGGGAAGGATCTATTCAGGTATCTCTGGAAGAAGAAGGTCTTCCCATACTTCTCCACAATTTAAGTCATTTTTCATAGTCTAAGAATATAAGAGTATATATTGTACAGCCTGGGCAACATGGTGAAACGCCATCTCTACTAAAAATACAAAAATTAGCTGGGTGTGTTGATGCACACCTGTAATCTCAGCTACTGGGGAAGCTGAGGCACAAGAATCACTTGAACCCAGGATGCAGAGGTTGCAGTGAACTGAGATTATGCCCCTGCACTCCAGCTTGGGCAACAGAGCAAGACTCTGTCTCAAGAAAACAAACAAACAAGAAGTAGACATTGTAAATTGAAACATAAAACTTTAGAGGCAGAAATGTCACCTTGGAGAGCAAACAGATATTTAATATTTGTTCTCAATCAACATTACCTGATACCAGTTACCAGCCAGGGTTATGCAAGGTACTTCTATTTACACAATCTCATTTATGACACAATGTTGTAGTTTGAAGAGCTCTGTGTGCTGTTATAGTCAGGGAGTCCTCTTGTAATGATCAATTGCTACAGCAATTTAAACCTTCTTTAACTTAGGTTTATGATGCTAGAATTTTACTTTTTGTATTCATATCTGTTTTTATGGCGTACTGTTGGTAAGATGGTTTATATGATGCCAAGTCTTTGGTCAGAAAAGATGCTGCTTTCACAATGTTGTTCTCATAGAAAAACATAAATCACTTTGTGGTATTGTTTCCAAGAACATGCTAAGGCAAGTAGGGGTTTTCCCTACAGTCCTCAGGGCAAGTTCAAGATTATTCTGGGTATTATATGCTGCTGCAAATATTTCTTCCCATAGGCCAACTGAAAAACTCAAAACAAAACAAAAACAGAAACAACAAAAAAAACCCTCAAAATTGAACAAAAATTCTCATTTTCATTGTTAAGAAAATTTTCAACTATTAGTTATGTTGTCAAGTCCTATTTTTATCATTGATTCTTTTCAAATTCAATATATCTAAAATGTGGACTCAGATGTATCTAATCAACTATTTTTGCAGCTTTTCCTTTGCTTTTAATGCAAACTCTAGAATAAGAACATTTAAGAAGGTCACCCCAGCTGTGCACAACCTGAATCCAACAGGATTCCAACAGGATACTTGGCTTTAACTTAGAATGTTGGCTTTAACTTGGAGTAATGGCATGGAAGTCTCCTAACAATTTCCACTATGTGTTATGAATAATCTAGAACTTTACTGGAGATTTTACTCTATTTTACAGTGATATGGCTTTAAAAGACTATAAGTTTTGATTCCAAACAAATCTAGTGCAATAGCAGGTCAACTAAGGTCTTGAATTTCATTTAGTATTTTATTCGAGATCAGTATTTACAGTACTGACAAAACTATTTAAGATCATCAAAGTCAGTGAACTCCTTCCTTTACATTTATTTGATATATAAAGGGCCAAATTGTTCAAATGATGCTTGAAGTGAATGGTAGAACCAGGCTAGTCATTTCAAAACAGGATGCTGCTATAAAGACACATGCACACGTATGTTTATTGCGGCATTATTCACAATAGCAAAGACTTGGAACCAACCCAAATGTCCAACAATGATAGTCTGGATCAAGAAAATGTGGCACATATACGCCATGGAATACTATGCAGCCATAAAAAATGATGAGTTCATGTCCTTTGTAGGGACATGGATGAAATTGGAAACCATCATTCTCAGTAAACTATTGCAAGAACAAAAAACCAAACACCACATATTCTCACTCATAGGTGGGAATTGAACAATGAGATCACATGGACACAGGAAGGGGAATATCACACTCTGGGGACTGTGGTGGGGAGGGGGGAGGGGGGAGGGATAGCATTGGGAGATATACCTAATGCTAGATGACGAGTTAGTGGGTGCAGCGCACCAGCATGGCACATGTATACATATGTAACTAACCTGCACAATGTGCACATGTACCCTAAAACTTAAAGTATAATTTAAAAAAAAAAAAAAAGAAAATATTTGGGTGGAATGATCAGTTGAACAATCAATTAAAAGTCTGACCCACAGAAACGAACTTTCCAGATGATCCCAGATTTCCAAGGAATACATTGGTGTTGTACTATCCACCATAAGGGCTGGTGGCATGAGGAACATTCAGGAGCCACGGACAACAAATTATGCTGCTTCAAGAAGTCAATGGCTGGCCGAGTGCGGTGGCTCACGCCTGTAATCCCAGCATTTTGGGAGGCTGGGGAGGGCAGATCACAAGGTCAGGAGATCAAGACCATCCTGGCTAACATGGTAAAACCCCGTCTCTACTAAAAATACAAAAAATTAGCCTGGTGTGGTGGTGTGTGCCTGTAGTCCCAGCTACTTGAGAGGCTGAGGCAGGAGAATTACTTGAACGTGGGAGGTGGAGGTTGCAGTGAGCTGAGATTGCACCACTGCACTCCAGCGTGGATGACAGAGCAAGACTCCATCTCAAAAAAAAAAAAAAAAGTCAATGGCTGGCAGATTTGAAGCACTAACAATATTTGGCAGTGTTTCTTGAAATAAACATTTATCTATTTGGAGAAGTAGAATGAAATGAAATCTTTTTGAAAAAAAACATTTAAAAAATTAAATTTGAATTTGACTCATAGGGATTGATCACAATTGAAGAATTTGACCTGCAGGGACGAATTGTTCAACTGATCCAATAATTTAAATTATAATGTATATGTTCTCATTCTAAGCACACTTCCGAGAGCAGCAGAAGCAGTTCAAGAGGCATAAGGGAAGCTTCACAAATAGCTCATTAGCTCAAGAAGTAGATGAAGTGGGGGTAAGAATGAAAAAATGGTGAATGTCCCAAATTGGAAGTTAGAACACCTGGTTCTGCAAAGACTAATTGTGTGTCCTGCCTCTAAAGTAGATATTCAACCTCTCTTGGCCTTTGAAAGAACCTGTAAAAAGAGAATATGAGAATTATGTTCTCTAAGATTCTATCATACCTTTAAAAGGCTATGGTTCTAAGTTAAATTGGAGTTTGGTTTTAATAAGGTCTTAAAAACTCTTCATCTTTCCAGTTAAAAATGTTCAGTCTCCTGTAAATGTCACTACTGATCTGATATCCTGCCATGACATTCCAGAGATGAGACAGGAAAAAATGTGACTGGCTCATATAGATTCTATTCCTATCCTCTCACTATCCTGACTTTGCCAGGAGCAGTTCAGTTCTGGAACACTTCAGAAAACATGTCTTAAACCACTAAATTTTTAGAATAGGGATTCAAATTTAAAGTGTAAGAGAAGGCTGGTTGAGCTAGGTGGCTCATGCCTAATCCCAGCACTTTGGGAGGCTGAGGCAGGCAGATCACTTGAGGCCAGGAGTTTGAGACCAGCCTGGCCAACATGGCAAAACCCCGTCTCTACTAAAAATATGAAAATTAGCCAGGAATGGTGGCACAGTCCTGTAATTCCAGCTACTCGGGAGGCTGAGGCAGGAGAATCACTTGAACCCAGGAGGCAGAGGTTGCAGTGAGCCGACATGGCGCCACTGCACTCCTGCCTGGGTGACAGGGCCAGACTCCGTCTCAAAAAAAAAAAAAAAAAAAAAGTGTAAAGAAAGGCCTCGGTTTAGGTCTGAGCCTAGGCTATGGTTTCCCACCTAGCTCTTCTAATACGATTCATTTGGGCCTCAGTTTATTCCTCTGCACAGTGGAAAAAACGAATAATTTTGATGAATGGTACTAGATTTTAGTAGGGTAGGTAATGTTTTTAGGATAGAAGTAGAAGAGGATGGGAAAAACAGCTTGTAGCACTTTGGGCTCTTGAGAAGGCACGTACTACTCTAACCATCAACAGTCGATCATGCATCTTCCTGCAACTTATTATTCCCAGGTGCTCAAAAATACCTATGGTTGAATGATGATGACAAAGCAGATGTCAACATTTAAATTTGGTAAACATCTAACAGGAAGAAGTGTGACATATGGGAAGAGGTTCAAATCCAAGCCAACCCAGATTTGAATCCTACCACCATCATTAACTACAGAGAGGGTTATTTGATCTAAGACAAATTACTTACCATCTGCAAATAGGGAAATAATTTTTTCTCATTGACTCTATTTTGAGTATTAAATGACATATCACATGTTAAGGTCTCAGTAGAGTGCCTGGCACACAATAGATATGTGAGAAATGGCAATTATTATTATATGTCAAAATGAATTTTATTAAGAAAAATCAAATATGCTGAACATTAGATTCCATGTACCTGCTACTAACATATCATGGGCTACTTTTAAGCCTCCCACAGTCATCTTTGTAATTTGCCAGAATCTTATCTTTAAGAAAAGACAATCTCTGCAGAAGATAGGTATTAAGTATTTTTCTCTCCATCTGAAACTTCCAAATCCTCATCACCATAATGACTGAATGTACAGCACTATAAGCATGAAGCTCACATATTTATGGAGATAAGAAAACAAGTGTGGCAAATTATAACAGACTTTATGGAACGAGTCAGTTCAATGAAAACAGCCAGATAAGTAGGAAGGAAGGAAGCATAAATCAGATATGATGAATTCCATGACAAGCCCATAGCACCAAAATGATCAACGATCTTAGTATGTTAGTTTACCCATACCATAAACACTCCACCTATTTTTTTTTAGAATTCCATTTCAACTTACCCATTGTCTTTTTAGCTATGGCTTTTAGCATTATTTTTTTAGTGTTGTTTTAGAGGATATATATCCTTAACTTTTCACAATCTACTTAGAGTTCATACTGCACCACTTCACAGAAAACGTGCAAACCTTAACCATATATTCCATTAACACATCCTCCCACCGCCATAGTACTGTACTTTATGCTATGGCTGTCATATGCATTACAGCTATGTACATAATAAATCCCATAAGATAATGTTATAGTTTTTGCTATTAATCATATGCATTGTAAATAAATTGAGAGGCAACAAAATATTTTTTATTTACACAGATATCTGCCATTTCTGATGTTCTACATTACTCCTTGAAATAGCCAGGCTTCCCTCTCATATTATTTCCCTACAGCTTAAAAATTTTCTTTAGCATTTCTTGTAGTGCAGATCTGCTGATAGTGAGTTTTCTTATATTTCTTTTTATTTAAAAATATTTTTGCCTCTATTCTCAAAGGACATTTTCATTGGATACAGATTTCTTGTTCGACAGGATTGCATTCCCCCAAACCTTCTAGAACTTTAAAGATACTGTTAAACTCTCTGCTGGCCTTCATAGCTCCAGATGCGTGTCCATGATCATTTAAATCAGTTACCTTCTATGTTGTGTGCCATTCTCCTCTGACTGCTTTCAAGATTTTCTCTTTAATTTTTAGCAATTTGACTATGATATGCTTTGGTGTGACATTTTTGTATTTATCTTATCTGGGTTTCACTGAGCTTTCTGCATTTGTAAATTTGTGTTTCTCATTCAATTTGGAAAAATTTGGTCATTATCTCATCAATATTTTTTCTGTTCCACTCTTTCTCCTTTCCTTCTGAAACCTTAAACACATACTAGGCTTTCATTCTGTCCCACAGGTCTAGGATCCTGTTCACTTTTTAAAATCCTTTATCTCCGTTATTCATCAAGGATCCTTTCTACTCATTTATCTTCAGGTTTACTGAATCTTTCCTCATTACTTCTACTGTGCTATTAATCAAACCCATACAGAGGATTTTTTAAATTTCAGATATTATTTTTAGATCTAAGATTTCCCTTTTGTCCCTTTTTATATTTTATATTTTCCTGCTGAAATTCCCTATATTTTCACTTATGTGTACAAGAATATTTTCCTTTATCTCAATTATAAGAGTTGCTTTAGAATCATTTTCTAATAATTTCAATATCTGGATCATCTCAAGGTTGGCTTCTATCCATTTTCCCTTGAGAATGGGTCACATTTTCCAGGTTCTTTGTAGCTAAAGTAACTTTGGATTGTATCCTAAACATTATGAATATTGTTGTGGAGACTCTGGATTCTATTATTTTCCTTTGAACAGTGTTAATGTTTATTTTAACAAGCAATTAGTTTTGTTAAACTGCAAACCCTGTCTTGTGTGCAGGAGGCAACAGATCAAATCTCAGTCCAGCTCTGTTACCATTAACTGTGCTGCTTTGATTTTGTCCAACACATGTATGGCTCAAGAATCAGCCAGACTCACGCCTGTAATCCCAGCACTTTGGGAGGCCCAGGCGGGCGGAACATGAGGTCAGGAGCTCAAGACCATCCTGGCTAACATGGTGAAACCCTGTCTCTACTAAAAACACAAAAAATTAGCTGGGCGTGGTGGCGGGAGCCTGTAGTCCCAGCTACTCGGGAGGCTGAGGCAGGAGAATGATGTGAACCCGGGAAGCGGAGCTTGCAGTGAGCCAAGATCATGCCACTGCACTCCAGCCTGGGCAACAGAGCAAGACTCCATCTCAAAAAAAAAAAAAAAAAAAAGAATCAGCCAGAGACTTGGGCAGAGTTTATACTCACAATCTTGGGCTCTCCTTGTCTGACTCTCTCCTTTCTGGTTTTCCCCTCTCACTCGCCAATGGCCACAGGCTCCCTAGACTCTTTCTTCTTGCCACTCAGACAAGAAAGTGAGGAGTTTTTAATCACAACTTCGGCTGCCCTGTGTCATTCTGCAAAAACAGACAACTCACCCCACTAAAGTCCTTTTTTCCAGGTGCCCACTGCTTTACAAAACCTGTTTGCCTACTTTTTTCACTTTCAAAAACCTTCAAGTAGTTGCTTTTTTGCATTTTGTCCCAAGTTTATTGTTATCTGTGGAAAGGTTAGTGTGTTCAAAGCTTATTCCAACACACTAGAGGAGGAAACCACAAATATCCTGATTAACAAAAAAATCTTTTATCTATATATCAAGAATCAAACTTGAAATGATGAACTATAGGTTGGCTAGTCTTCCTGTGCCTGCAGAAGTCTCATTTTACTCCACGCCTACAAGATTCACAATGTATCTTCTATTATGCATTTCAGCTCATCCTCAAGCCTCCAGCCAAACCTGGTCTCCATTTAGTAAGTCTTCACTCCCAAGGGTAGGATGTGCACCACTGGTAAACCAGATGACTTAAGGTGACTGAGACAGAACATTAAATAGCATGGAATCACATAACTATGGGGAAATTATTTTCAATTTTTTTCAACTCTTCTGATTCTGCCAAGCAATGCATCTCAGTTTTGTGGTAATATGTCTTTGACACCTTTCTAATAGTGGCTAGTTTCCCCTTTTCAACACAGAGACAACAGGTCTCATGCAAAGAACTTTCTCCAGGAAATAGCATCTAGCTAGAAATGAATAACATTTTTTTTCCACTCAATGTATTTTTAGAGTTACCTTCTATTTGTAGTGATATTGTTTTTTATTTGTGATAATGACATAAAGTTTACTTTTTAAAATCAAAATTCATAAAAAATAACTTGATTTAAAGAAAAATAATAGGCCAGGTGCAGTGGCTCACACCTGTAATCCTAGCACTTTAGGAGATCAATGTGGGAAGATTGCTTGAGACCAAGACTTCCAGACCAGCCTGAGCAACACAGCAAGAGCTCATCTCTACAAAAAATAAAAAATATAAAACTGGCCGGCTGGGCGCAGTGGCTCAAGCCTGTAATCCCAACACTTTGGAAGGCTGAGGCAGGCGGATTGCCTGAGGTCAGGAGTTCAAGACCAGTCTGGCCAACATGGTGAAACCCTGTCTCTACTAAAAATACAAAAAAAAATTAGCTGGGTGTGGTGGCAAGCACCTGTAATCCCAGCTACTCAGGAGGCTGAGGCAGGAGAATTGCTTGAACCAGGGAGGTGGAGGTTGCAGTGAGCCGAGATGGCGCCACTGCACTCCAGCCTGGGTAACAGAGTGAGACTCTGTCTCAAAACAAACAAACAAACAACAACAAATAAAACAAAACAAAAAAAACTAGCCAGGCATGATGGCATATGCCTGTAATCCTAGATACTTCAGGAGGCTGAGGCAAGAGGATCACCTGAGCTGAGGACATCAAGGCTGCAGTGAGCTATGATCATGCCACTGCACTGCAGCCTGGGTGACAGAGTGAGACTCTGTCTCCAAATAATAATAGTAGGCCAGTCGCGGTGGCTCACACCTGTAATCCCAGCACTTTGGGAAGCTGAGGTGGGTGGATCTCTTGAGGCCAGGAGTTTGAGACAAGCCTGGCCTACACGGTGAAACCCCATCTCTACTAAAAATACATAAATTAGCCAGGCGTGGTGGTGAGCATCTGTAATCCCAACTACTCAGGAGGCTGAGGCAGGAGAATCACTTGAACCCGGGAAACGGAGGTTGCAGTGAGCCAGGATTGCGCCATTGCACTCTAGCCTGGGCCACAAGAAGGAAACTCCATCTCAATAATAATAATAATAATAATGAATGACAGTATAAGTCATATACAGATAAGAATGGGGAAAGATTGTAGTAAATAGTTCTAATTGCTATAACAGATGTATCCCCATCCCAAATCTCAGTAGCTTACATACAGAATTTCTTACTCATGAAAATGCCAATAACGCTACTTGGGTGTTTCTAGTTTGTGGTAGTTATCCATGTGTTCATTCAGAGATTAAGGATGACAAAGTCTCTGCCATCTTCAACAGAGATCTCAAGATCACTTTGAATAGGTCTGGCCAGGGAAGAGAGAGAGAGAGAGAGAGAGGAAAAAAAAAGAATAGCAGACAGTGTGGGCAGTTTGATGGGCCAGGCTTAGAAGAGATATATATCCTTCTGTTCACATATTACTGGATAAAACTGAGTCTATGGCCACACTTCACTGTGAAGCAGGCCAGGAAATGGGTCTGACCTAGGAGAAAAAGTGTTTTGGGTTTCCATGAGCATAAAGTTTAGGTAACTGCCCTAAGATTTGGGGAACTATGCACTAGGTTATGTTTCTTCAAAGCAGAGGAGAAGAAGGAACCATCATTTCTCAGAAAATTCTCTTTGTTTTATAAGGATGACTTAAGATATTAGCATCTCTCCTTCCTGCCTGCCTTCCAGATCCCATGGTCAGGCCCCTCCCCAAGAAATGCAGAGACTGACAGGCAGTCCTCCAAAGTGTTCTATCCATTTCAGTAGACCTCCACCACGGGAATCTGGGGTGCCCACTGCAGCTCCAAGCTGTCACATCTCCTGTCCCCCAACTGCCCTTTCTTTCCCAGCAGCTTTGTAATCACAATTTACCAATCCTGCCTCTCACCCTCTCCACAAAGTCTTTGCTTTCTGACAGTTCAATTAGGTAACTTGAAAAAGTAGCCAGTGTTCATGTTAATTGAAAGCTCTTTCTTCCTTCTCTCCAGGGAAATTAAGAACATTTTACACTGTGGCTGCCTGGAGGCCACGGTATTGTTTTGAGTGTGTCCTAGCAATGTGTGGCCACCACAGACCAGGGAGGTAGCCCCATCTGGCTGGGGGGCAACTCCACCAACCCCACTTCTTGAATATCTGGCCTGTTCCTCCGTGGCCACCCCTCACCCAAGAGAGAGTGCCAGCTCTTTAAAAGCAGGACATGCCCCTCCCAGGATCTTTCTTTGACGCCCACAGATCACAGAGGGCCTAATGCAAGGTCGAGTACTAGGCTTTGGCTCAGGACATGTAACTGAATTCAAATGATTGATTCAGTGTCACTGAGGTATTAGCAGTCATTTAAGTTCTGTTCTATGTACTCTAAAAACAGTATATTTTTAAACAATGTAGAACAGTATGTGTCAAACCTTTAGTTACTCCCAAAATGCTATAATTAAAGAGTCAACTCCTCATATTTTGTCAGATCACAGTAGAACTCATGGACTTCCAGCCTTCTCTCAGCCACGACCTGTGCTTGACCCCCACTATTTTAAATTCCTGAACTGTTGGCAGAAGTGCCTGGGTAGATATTAATTTCTATAAATATGTTTTGGAGAGAGGCAGCCAAGGCAAATTAACTGGTGTTTCATGAGTACACCCATAAAATGCTACTCTAGTAAAAAGGGCACCTGATACTAAATCCTGAACCTACCCTTCCCCCCAACACACCCTTTTTAAAAATGGAACCCCTAGATTCAAAGACAGTTTGGAGTGGAGGTTCCCCAGATAATGTCTGCTTGCTTGTTAGTTACATTGATTTTAAGAACAAATCCATTTAAGCGATCTTCACAGCTGACTTGTCCTCTTTCCATGGACTGTGGGTTCTGGAGCCAGACTGCCAAGGTTTCAATCCTGATTCACCACCTTCTCATTATGAGATTTGGAGCAAGTTACCTCACAGGATGTTTAGGACTTGCTTTAAAATTCTTCATTCAAAAAATAAAAGGGGTGGTGGTAGAGTTACTGAAATAAGATGGGCAAAATATTGATAATTATTGAAGATAAGTAAGGTACAAGTCAGTTCATTCTATCCACTCTCTTGATTGTTTGAAATTTTCCATAATAAATTCTTAAATGACACTTTTATCTAGAACACAAGTAATTCCCCAAGGCTTTCCCTCACAAAACAACTTTCTCCTCTATCAGAGATGAATTGTAGAAAATATATTGAGTATTCTATCTTTACTTTCAACTATGCAGAACAATTTCTTTTAGATTTCGCTGTTCTCATAAGTTAATAATATAACAGGAAGAACTTAATTTTTTTTCCTTCTACCTTCAGCTGTTTAAACCTACCAAGAAATCAAATTCCCTGATGTGCAGTTTACCGCAGTCCTTGCCTCTTATGATAAGGCCAGTCAAGATCCTAGGTATCTGGACACAGCTATAATTTGGTGTCGTTTTCAGTGTTGGCTCTGAGATCTCAGTCTCTCGATAACTCCCCTTTCCAAAAGGGGAAAGACCGGGGGCGGAAGGAAGAGAAGACAAGAAGAGAGGGAATGTACTGCATCCTATTTCAAGCACTAACACAACTGTTTTCTCCCCCATTGACTCTTCAAAACACAGATGCCATGCCCATAGAGAGGGGAGACAAATAAGGCGATATGTTGGGCTCAATATATACTTTCTTTTGCACCCCCACCCCAACTTTCACATGTAAGTAATGCACTGAGAAAAAGAGATGACTTCCTGCTGGAGCTCAGACTGTGCCAATAGAAACTGCTGGTTTCCCTCAAGTGATATTAATAAAACTAACTTTATTGGCAACTCCTGTCAGGGCTGCACATGATAACGTCAAAATTGTACAGATTGGGGAAAGGCTGTTTAAAAGTTTTCCCCCAAATTATCAGTTTTTAATTATATCCCAACAAAATATTGATGTCTCTTTTATCACTGATAGGTCATATAAAATTTGGAGACAGTTTTCCTCTATGTCTTTGAGAAAAATTAAACAATATAATTTTATTACTTCTTTCACATATCTTCATCAGCTAACTTAACATGGATCTGTTAAAGCATTTTAAGTGTAAAAAATGAAATTTGAGTTTTATGTTAAAAATTTAATAATTATATCAAAGTAAAGGTTAGAAACTATTTAAAACCAGTTAATATCAACATCAGAGAAAGAAAAAGTATATAATGACAGTTCTAATTATTACATTCTCTTGTTTTGCACTTCTAAAGAGTGGCAATTAAATCTCTACTTTGACTTATGTGGAGAGTAAAATCTGCACCTGCAATACTAACACCATTTCATTTCCTCCAAGAAAGGGATTTAGTTCCTTACAATATAGATCTGGGGTTGGAATAGTAGATGCAAACTGCTTCTAGAATAGCACAGTGCCTCTGATGATTTAGGATGGTGTTCCAAACACCACTTGGTTTCCATTCAATATGAACAAGTACAAAATGATCCTTTGAGTCCCCACCAAAATCAGTACAGGCTAAAGTGTGTGTTGGTTTCTATCTAAGTACTGTACATGGAGCAACTGTAGTTTCTGAGGTCAGGAACACTGTCATTCATGGTCTTAGCCTTAGGTATGCCCCTTCCCCCAAACCTTTTTCTAAGGGCAATTACAGTGAAAGCAGTTTGTAAAATGTTAAGCATTAACAAATGGAACTTTTTTTGCGAATATTCACTTGTAAAAATACTTAGCCAGACTGATAGTTTGACTTTGGGGAAATATATGTCTGTGGCAGAAACAAAAATGCTTATTAAATATTCCCTCTGTTCCCTCGCATGTTCCAGCCCCTTGCAGTTATGTCAGATCACGTGATATAGTTCTGACCAGTAACTTGTGGCCAGAAGTGATTTGTGTCCCTTTTAGGCCAAAGTGTAAAAGAGCTGGCACATGATCTTCTGGCTGTGTCCTTTCTTATCATGGTGAACTGAGGGGGACATGAGTTGCAGATGTTGTGGCTATAGGATAGTGAAACTGCTGCCATGGGCCTGGGTCCCTGAATGACTGTGTGGAATACAACACTACTACCAACTCTTGCTGGATATGTACAATAAACAAAATACAAACCTTTGTGTGTAAAGCCACCAGAAATTGGATTATCTGTTCCTGCAGCACATCTATCCTATCCTGAAAAAAATAATGTGTAAGGTCTAAAAGCCTTAATTTTTCACCTAACCAGCTTCACAAAACTCTGGATGCTTCATTTCTGCAAACTTCTTCCCATGCTGATAGATGAGAAGGGCAATATGCAAGGAATGGCTCCATCATGGCACCATGGTGACCTTGCACATCCCCTTATAGGCCATAGAGGCAAAGCTTAGCCACAGTCTGACCGAAGTCTTGGTGGGATGCCCTGAAATTCCTCCTGAAATGAAGGAAGACAAGCAGCCTTGTGGGGAGCTCCTGTGAGGCGGTTTCTCATCTACCTCCAGATTTTGTGGGAGACTGCACAAGACCTTTCCCATCCATCTTCCTTGTTTTGGTTGTGTACAGGACTTTGCATCTTGCAAACCCCCTTCCCCTTAGGGCACAGCCGCAGGCTTCTGTGCCAATAAAACTACTTGGCTGTAATTTAGAGGTGGCTCCTCTAGGGCAAAGTGACCCACCTGTCATGCCACCTGTCTTCTGGCCTCTCCAGTTTGGTGTCATCCTGTGTGTGGGACTAGGGAGGCAAGGAGCTGATGGCATACTGATCTTGATTTTGCTGTCTGTGTAAGTAACAAAGCTCTGAATTCATTTGGGCTTGTTGTTGCCTTGCCAGACGGATCTATGGAAGTGTGGAGAGCCAACATGGTAGCTGCCCTATCAGTGACCACACTGCAGCTTGGGCATTGCTTAACTACTTGATACAATGAAAGGTGACTTTTATGATAACTATTTGTTGCTCAGCCTCAGCTTAGATGGTTTTCTGATGGGATATCTTTCTTTTGCCTGAAAGAACAAAATGGGGCCAACCAGGACTATAGCTTTCTGATTTGAAGTTGGAGAAAAAAACAAGTCAGATAGGTTTCCCACTGCTTCAGCTTCCTCCATATTTTAATAAAGCTAGCATCAAGTTTACAAACTGAGTTGTTAGGAGGCTCCAACAATCCAGGCCCTATTGAAGATATTTGGTAGCACCTCTTCTTGACAGAGTCTTAAGTGTGCTGAGTGGTAGCCACAGGCTTTGGAAGAACCCATGAGAGAAAGTCAACACCTAACGTACAAGGAGACAATTTATGGCATTTCATACTTCTGCTATTCCAGGGAACCAGAAACACCTATCACAGGGATGAATGATATCTTTCAAATTAAATAACCAACAGGAATGCTAACACTAAATTTCCTGAATATTAATAAACACGAATGGTACACAAATGCATTTACAAACTACTAAACATCAGGAATTGTGTGAGAAAGAAGTCTCACAAAGATAAATGGAGTTCCATCTTTAGATGCAAACTCAAAGTTCTCTAAGACGGGTAATGTTTCTGACTTGGGAGTGAGGTCCAGAAAAATACACGCTGGGTGATGAGTCTTTAGATATGAGCACATTTATAAGTAACTTTATGGCTGGCAAACCTATGTACCTATGAAAATGGTGCAACCACAGCAGCATTCTCTGTTGGCACTCACACAGCACGGTCATGCCCTATGGGGCCAGGAAGAACAGGAGTATGGTTTTGCTTCTTGCAAGTTTACAGATATCCTACTGAGAGTGAGAATCATCATGACATATCTTGAAGGTTGTAAGGAAGAAATTTTCTCAGAAAGAGAAAGGGAAAAATGTATGCATCTGACATTATTTCTGGAAAGGAGAACATCCTTTCCTTATAAGACCTACAAATATGCTGTTTTAAAGATGATTCTGGGCAGAGAATTGTGAGTGAAAAAAAAATCTGTGCTTTCAATATAAATGATGGTGACAGAAGAAATGCTGCATGCTGATAAAACTCACAGTGCATATTGATGAAATATTCAAATATCCATCATATTCCGAGGGAAATATCCTAATGTTCTAAGCAGATACTGTTAGACCTCATTAAAAAGAAATCGTCAAGTACTGTTCTTTTTATGATTTTCTCAACCACAATGTTTTTCTAGACCTTCCTTTGTGCCAGGCATGATGTTAGGCAGAAAGGGCACAAAGATGAATAGGACACATGTCTGTTCAATTGGTTCCTTGATGCGGTTTCTGCCTTGAAGCTCCGTTTCCACTCTTTCCTGGTTCCTGCAGTAACAATTAGTGTTCAATTAAAAGGCTCTGGTCTTCAGCAACCATCAAAATAAAAATGATTCAGGCAAGAATTCTCAATGGATGGATGTCAAAAACTTTGGGTAAAGGTTTGGATCGGGAGAGTCACAGGGTCCTCAAAATATTACCCCATGGATTACTTACTAATTACAAAAAAGCAAAGGAGAAATCTCTGCAATGGAGAAATCTAGTGGGTACCAGTTTAACCAAGGATTTCAATTTAGTACCACCAAGAATGGGAGGAGCAAACATTATGTGACTCCTGATGTGATGCAACAAGAAGGATAAGCATTGCCTACATGGTGCTCTGGCAATAGTAATTAACTGGAATCTAACTGTGTTCTAACTGTGAGAAAGCAAGCAGACAGATACAGAATGTAGAACACTGTATCAAACAACTAGCTGGACTTTTTTTTTTTTTTTTTGAGATGGAGTCTCAGCTCTGTCATCTAGGCTAGAGTGCAGTGGCACAATCTCTGCTCACTGCAACCTCCACCTCCTGGGTTCAAGCGATTCTGCTGCCTCAGCCTCCCGAGTAGCTGGGACTACATGTATACACCGCCATGCCTGGCCAATTTTTGTATTTTTAGTAGAGATGGGGTTTCACCATATTGACCAGGCTGGTCTCAAACTCCTGACTTCAAGTGATCCGCCTGCCTCAGCCTCCCAAAGTGCTGGGATTACAGGCGTGAGCCACCACATCCAGCCTTAGCCTGGACTTTTCAACACTGCACTGCATTATTAGATAAGACATAAATGTAGGGAACTCTTCTATACTGAAGAAGACTAAAGAGAGACAGAACAACTAAAGGCAATGCATGATCCTGGATCAAAAGAAGCAGCTATACAGTAATCATTTGAACTAATGGAGAAATCTTAGAAGGGACTGTGTTTAAATGGCATATTGTATTGGTGTCAAATTCCTTGGTATTTAATGGTACTGTGACATGTTCTTGTTCTAAAGTGATAATGCTGAAGTACATTGGGGTGAAATAGCATGATGTCTGCAACTTACTTTCAAATGGTTCAGGGGAAAAAATTTGTGTATACACATACATATACATACGTATGGGAGGAGACACAAAACAATAAATTGGCGAAATGTTCACATTGTCAAATTTAGATGCAAAGCCTACCAGTGTACATTGTATTACTCTCACAATTCTTCTGCTTAATTTGAAATGTTCTATTTTAAAAGGGGTGGAGGGGAGTGGGGGTGAAAAACAGCAGCTGACTGAGCTTGGGTTACAGTTGTGGGTCATGGAAAATGGCAATGCTAAGGGGCCACTTGGATGAAGCCTGTGTTCTTGGCCTCACAAGCCTGTCTCTGATAGGGGTCAGGCCTCATCTTAATGACAGGACAGTCCAGGAGGTGCATTCCTAGTTTGGAATGGATCAAGACACTTCAACTGCCACACTCAAAGAGATTTGTCTGTTTAGTGTATCTATAGACTTAGAATAAATATGCTTCAGAAAGTGGATAACTTCTCACTTGTTATATAGACCAAAGTAAAATAGCACAAAATCTACAACTCAAATACTATGAAGTGCTCAGTAATCAACTTCAGGGGCAATGTCAGTGCATCTTTGGGTCAATGTGGGTAAGTGTACCTGTATCCTTGCATTGGTCCATAACCAAACCTTGGCTCCAATGGGAACCCGAACATTAGACTTTAAAATTTTCTTTTGAATTATGAATTCTTTGCTGAATAGTCCAGAGCATAGGCCTTAAATTCTGGCAGAAGTCCTATGAATGAATTCATTATATGTTTTAAAGGAAAGTCATTAATTCTTTGTAAATAATGTTTTAGTATCTAAAGAGAAAAATCAGAAGGTGTTAAATGTTTATAAAAGAATGAGAACTCAAGGTCTAACCTTCTACCCTCTCTCATTGCCCTTTTATAAAGCCCTTTGCACCTGCAGGAAATATAGAGCTATTTCCATTTGAGGGTCTCCATCTCCTCCACCATCTGCTCCACATCCAGCCCAAGTCTCTCTTGCTCAAATCATCTGGTTTCCTTATCATAAACAGTCTTTCCAGTTGTGTCTACGCAATGCAAAATCAGATTCAGATTATAATGTGCTTATTTTTTCTTTATAGGTTGTCAGTAATTACTTTATATAATAACAAAATTGCTTATAACAAAGCCAGTGAAGCTAACACCAACTTACCCAACATTTATAAAGTCAAGCAAAATAAAGTTTTTATCACACACGTAAAAAATAATATTCCTCCTAAACTTAAACAGAATCAAAACAACTCTTCACTTACCTTTTATTGTTCAATTATAGTGTAAAGTAAATAGACAGTTACTACTAGGAAAAAAAAATTTAAGTTGGAGACAGTCAGCCCTGCCTCTTTCTATGCTTCAGAGAATCTGAATATTCATTTCCATCCTTCCCCAAATTCCAGACTCTAAATGGCCTAATATATGACATTAGCATGATTTCAATTAATAATCTATGATATCTTCATGTCATAAATTTTATTTGAAATTTTGAAACACATATTTCAGGTATCAAAGTATCTGACACTGGTGTAGAACTGATTAACATAAGTAAAAAACATCTTTTGACAGCCCATCACACATCCTTGTTTCACTAAATACAGAAAATTATTATATATGTAAACATATGCATATAGAATATGTAACACTTCAACACATTCCAATTATATTACTAAATGCTTGCCCTTCCATCAAGAATTTGGGGCATTTTATGGCATGGCCTTCACATAAAAACCTTAGAACTGAGCATCCCAAGGCTCAACTCAGACTTTTTTCCTTTGCATCTCCAATCTGTCAAACATGTATATTTCACTATTCTTCTAGGATCAACTCTTCAAAAGCTACTAGGTATGAGTAAACACTCTATACATAGCCCCCTGACTCCACCTGTTTTCTGGTGGTGTTAAGAAAAATATCATTGCTAGCCTATGGTCCTATCCTCAGAGGAAGGCAACACCAGGACCTATATTATGACTGTGAGTCAGGTGAGATAGTCCGAGGCAAGGAACCTTTATAGAGTGTAGACTGGATATGTGCAGAGGCGCTGAAGAACAAGACAGCCAACATGGATTCACTTCCACTGAAGAAGGCCCGGGGGAGGAAGGGTGACCTGAGTTGAACCATGAGAGGAGGTGGGGGTGGGAGGAATATGTGAAGGAACAGAGGTGAGAGGAATTATGTAAAAAGAGAGACCAGAAGAGTACATATGGATGTCTGCAGGGAAACAAGGTGGCCACAGTCAGATGAGAGTTGACAAGTGGCAGAAAAATGCCTGCTGCTAGGTCAGCAGGTGCCAAGAATGTGAAAGCCCCACAAGGAAAGCAGAGGAGGAGCCATGGTGATGGGGGAAAATGGGGCCATTCCATCAGAGAAATGCAAATCAAAACCACAATGAGATACCATCTCACACCAGTTAGAATGGCGATCATTAAAAAGTCAGGAAACAACAGGTCCTGGAGAGGATGTGGAGAAATAGGAACACTTTTACACTGTTGGTGGGACTGTAAACTAGTTCAACCATTGTGGAAGTCAGTGTGGCGATTCCTCAGGGATCTAGAACTAGAAATACCATTTGACCCAGCCACCCCATTACTGGGTATATACCCAAAGGATTATAAATCATGCTGCTTTAAAGACACATGCATACGTATGTTTATTGCGGCACTATTCACAATAGCAAAGACTTGGAACCAACCCAAATGTCCAACCATGATAGACTGGATTAAGAAAATGTGGCACATATACACCATGGAATACTATGCAGCCATAAAAAATGATGAGTTCATGTCCTTTGTAGGGACATGGATGAAGCTGGAAACCATCATTCTCAGCAAACTATCACAAGGACAAAAAACCAAACACCACATGTTCTCACTCAGGTGGGAATTGAACAATGAGAACACATGGACACAGGAAGGGGAACATCACACACCGGGGACCGTTGTGGGGTGGGGGGAGTGGGGAAGGATAGCATTGGGAGATATACCTAATGCTAAACGACAAGTTAATGGGTGCAGCACACCAACATGGCACATGGATACATATGTAACAAACCTGCACGTTGTGTACATGTACCCTAAAACTTAAAGTATAATTAAAAAAAAAAAAAAAAGAAATTGAAAATCTCTGCCACAGGGAAAAAAAAAAAGGAAAAAGTAAAGAAAATGGGGCCACAGACAAGCTTTAAGTGAGAAGGGTGCCTGAAAACAGTGCTAATAAACACTAGATTAACAGCACTAGTCACTTAGAGAGCTAAAGCATAACCTGACTTTAATGCGGCCAGTACATAGCACATATTATTTGTTTCTTTCATTTTCTTCAACCAGACCACTGAGGAAAAGGCTACAATGAGTGCAGGAACATTTGAGGACCTGAAACACTCTTTTCCCATTAAAGAAAATATTTCATCTGGGCCAAAAGCAATTGCAACAAAAGCAAAACTTGACAAATGGGACCTAATTAAATTAAAGAGCTTCTGCATAGCAAAAGAAACTATCAGCAGAGTGAACAGAAAACCTACAGGATGGGAGAAAATATTTCTGAACTATACATCTAACGAAGTCTAATATCCAGAATCCACAAGGAACTTAAACAAATGTACAAGCAAAACACAAACAATCCCATTAAAAAGTGGGCAAAGGACATGAAAAGACACTTTTCAAAAGAAGATATACATGTGGCCAGCAAATATATGAAAAAACGCTCAATATCACTAACAATTAGAGAAATGCAAATCAAAACTACAATGAGATACAATCACACACCAGTCAGAATGGCTACTGTTAAAAAGTAAAAAATTAACAGATGCTGGTGAGGTTGCATGGAAAAGGCAACGCTTATACACTGCTGGTGTGAATGTAAATTAGTTCAGCCATTGTGGAAAGCAATGTGGAGATTACTCGAAGAACCTAAAACAGAACTACCATTTCGACCCAGCAATCCCACTACTGGGTATATATCCAAATGAATATAAATTATTCTACCATAAAGACACATGCATGCATATGTTCACTGCAGCAGTATTCACAATAGCAAAGACATGAAATCACTAATTGCCCATCAATGACAGAGTGGATAAATAAAATGTAGTACATATATACCATGGAATACTATGAAGCCATAAAAAAGAACTAGATCATGTCCTTGGCAGGAACGTGGATGGAACCGGAGGCCATTTCCTTAGGAAACTAACACAGGAACAGGAAACAAAATACCACATGTTCTCACTTATAAGTGGGAGCTAAATAATGAGAACACATAGATGGAAAGAGGGGAACAACACACATTAGGGCCTACTTGAGGGAGGAGGTTAGGAGGAGGGAGAAGTTCAGAAAAAAAATCTGTCAGGTACTATGCTCAGTTACTCAAGTCATTAAACAATCTGTACACAAACCCCCAAACCATGAGTTTACCTATGTAACAAACCTGCACGTGTACCCCTGAAGCTAAAGTAAAAGTTAAAATTTAAATTAAAGAAAAAGAAAATATTTCATATGGATATTCATTCGGGACTCTTTCACCAACTTTGCATCACAGATCTGAAAGTGGGGAGTACAAAATTACATTTTATAAAGTAGGAAGGCAGGTTATAGATGCCAGCTGCGCTTCTCAGGGCATGCAAAATGACTTTTACCAAATTTAAAGAAGAAAAACTAAGCAAATGAAATTTTTTAATCTTTCCATTTCAGTGACCAATGGTGAGACTCTTAAACGTTTGGATTCCTTTTGAACAACAACAACAAAATTATATTTGGATTCCAAGTGCCTCATTCAAATGGGCTTTCATGAAAAAGCAAAATGACAGGGCCTAAATGTAAATACCACTAAAGCCCCAGGAAGCTGAAAAGAAAAACAACCAGTAGGGAAAACGTGTTCTCTGTGGTCAGAAGCAGCAATGATTCCCAGCGATTCCATGCTCGGCTTTTCTTAAAATAACAAACCATCTAAAGAGAGAAGGCAAGTGTGTTCTGCTGCCGTGGTGATGGGAAAAACCTCAGCCAGCAGCGATGGGAACTGACTAGTCAGACTTGGCAGACACAAGCCCCGGGAACAAAGTCAACAGCATGCTTCATGTTTTAGGGAGGCTTGTCTACTGTGCATCTTCAGAAAAAAGATTTAGACCGAGAAATTCATGGCCACGGCCAGAGGTTGATAGTAAAAAGGTAGCTAGTCTAAAAACACTCAGCCCTAATACCAAATCGTCCTTCACATACGTTTCCAAAACCTATTTTCTATTTATTTCTTTTCTATTAAATTTTATGGGTGGTGGTGAGGTGAGAGAGTAGTAAAAACAGGCTGGTGGTGGCAAAAATTGCCATTCTGTGCTACCACTCTGGGCAGAATCTCAAAAGCTGAAAGTCATGCCAGGCTCAGGATCATCAAATAGAAACCCTGCATCCAGCCTCATCCATGTCAACCAGGACTTCAAGGGAAGGCCTCTTCTTACATATTTCCATGTTTAGAAACTGCACACACATTCCATGTTCACTTACTCTAAGGGGTCAAGAAGTTCCTTGTGATATATGATTAATATGCATTCTCTTCATTCATTTGACTCAGAAGTCTAACCTAATCTGTGCAAAATAGTTACTGAAAGATTAGAAACTATTGAATTTCGTTCTTTGTTGTTTTGAGTTTTCTTACTTTTTTACCACTAGTAGTACCAATTCCAGACCACAAGTGATTTGTGAAATTCAGCCTTCATTTTCAAAACTGCGTATAAGCCTATTTATCCTGGAAAAAGAACTGACAGTTGACTAAATGAAAGAATCAGCACAATCATCCCAAATCTTGAGTATAAACATCTCCTGTCAATGGTCTGGGATGGTTCTCAAAGTGGTTTGGGGACCTCTGAGGATCTCTGAGACCCTTTCAGGGGTCCATGAGGTCAAGACATCTTTATAATAATACTATAATGTTATAAGACTTTTTCATTCTCATTCTTCACAATTGTACAGTGAAATTTTCCAGAGGCTATGTGCCACGAGATGACGTTATCACTCTGCAGCTAATGAAATGTTTATATATTCTTGTACTTGAAAAATCTATCACTGGAAGAATCGATATTGTTAAATTGGCCATCCTATCCCAAGCAATTTACAGATTAAATGCTATTTCTATTGAACTACCAATGACATTATTCACAGAATTAGAAAAAACTATTATAAAATTCATATGGAACCAAAAAAGAGCCTGAGTAGTGAAAACAATCCTAGGAAAAAGAAGCAAGCAAGAAGCATCACATTACCAGACTTCAAACTATACTACAGTGCTATAGTAACCAAAACAGCATGGTACTAGTACAAAAACAGACATATAGATGAATGAAACAGAACAGAGAACCCAGAAATAAAGACACACGCCTACAACCACCTGATCTTTGACGAAGCTGACAAAAACAAGCAATGGGGAAAGGATTCCCTATACAATAAATGGTGCTGAGATAACTGGTTAGCCATCCTGCACCCCTTCCTTACACCACACACAAAAATCAACTCAAAAATGCATCAAAAATTTCAATGTAAAACTTAAAACTATAAAAATCCTTGAAGAAAACCCAGGAAATACCATTCTAGACATAGGCCCTGGCAAAGATTTTATGACAAAGATGCCAAAAGCAATTCAAACAAAACCAAAAATTAACAAATAGGACCTAATTAAATCAAAGAGCTTCTGCACAGCAGAAGAAACTTTCAAGAAAGCAAACAACTTATGGAATGGGACAAAATATTTGCAAACTATGCATCTCACAAAGGCCTAATATCCAGACTCCATAGGGAGCTTAATTGAACAAGCAAAAAACAAACACCACCACTTAAAAGTGGGCAAAGGACATGAACACTTTTCAAAAGAAGACATACATGCATCCAACAAGCATATGAAAAAATGCTCAACATCACTAATCATTAGAGAAATGCAAACCAAAACCACAATGAAATACCATCTCACACCAGTTAGAATGGTTATTAAAAAGTCAAAAAACAACAGATGCTGACAAGGCTGTAAAGAAAAGGGAATGCTTATACACTGCTGGTGGAAATGTAAATTCATTTTGCCACTATGGAAAGCAGTTCGGTGATTTCTCAAAGCACTTAAAAACAGAACTACCATTTTGAACCAGCAATCCCATTACAGCATATATACCCAAAGGAATATAAATCATTCTACCATAAAGACACATGCACATGTTATGATCACTGTAGCACTATTCACAGTAACAGAAACATGGAATCAACCTAAATGCCCATCATTGGTAGACTGGAAAAAAAAAATGTGGTACATATACACCATGGAATACTATGCATCCATGAGAAAGAATGAGACCATGTCTTTTGCAGCAACATGGATGGAGCTGGAGGTCATCATCCCAAGTAAAATAACACAGGAAAAGACAGCCAAATACTGTATATTCTCACTTAATAAGTGAGAGCTAAACATTGAGTACACCTGGACACAAAGAAGGGAACAACAGACAACAGGGCCTACTGGAAAGTGGAGGATGGGAGGAGGGTGAGGATCAAACAACTATCTATCATGTACTATGCTTACCATCTGGGTGAACAAATAATATGTACACCAAACCCCTGAAGCATGCAATTTATCTGTAGAACAAACTTGCACGTGCACCCCTGAACCAAAATCAAAGTTTAAAAAAATGCTTCATTATATTTAATAAACTCCCAATTACTGATCTTACAATAAACATTGGTAGATATAACTAACATAAACAAAAGCTTCTTGAAGTCCTCAGTAACTTTTAAGAATGTAAAGGGTTTCTGAGACTAATAGTTTGTAAAGGGTGGGGGTTTTATGAAGAGAGACCTTTCATTCAAAATATTACTAAATAATAACTTTGCAATGTGGTGTCACACAAGCAGCTGGGTGTCTAAAAACTAAAAAACTTAAACATCCTTAAACTATTTTTCTTGAAGTCCAGCTTTCACCAGTAGCCCAGACTTTTCCTTTCTCTGGATTTTTGCTTCCTAGTTGTCCTCTTGGGGAGAAAAACTTTATCTCATTCACCATCTGCTATTCTTCCTCTCTGCTTTTGCAAAGAAATCCTTTTTCTGAAATCCCATCATCACAGCCACTCACTGGAGCTCTTAATCACACACTTCCTTACCTATTACTTAACTTCTTCCCATGTTAGTTACCACCTTTACTTCTTTACTCATTTTTCATTATTATTTATAACATACCTACTTTTTTAAAAAATTGAAATGATCCATGATAAAAGACACATGCTACTGCCTCTTTGGTAATACCTCCCATAGCTCTCTGCCTGGCAAACTATATGACTCACAGTTGAAGCTATGGACTTGTCTGGACTGCATCTTCTCCCTCCACAAACAGTGGGACTGGGCTCATACTGAATCTAATGCAGCCTCTTATAGAGCTGCTGAGCCATCATTTTTGTTTACAGGATTGCAACCCACCAAGATTATGAGATTTACAGTCACAATTGTAAATCAAAATTTACAATTTTAGGGGAAATTTTTCTTTCTCCTAAAACTAGCACAGAAAAGATGTTTGATAACCAAATCAATTAATGAATGTAGGGCTATAGATTTAGAAATTAAAATTTAAGAGAGATAAAAGGGTAAGCAAATGAACAAAACAGCAAAGCTACAAGATACTTCATACAGTACATTAAATCTCATTTTGGCCTTCCTGAAAGTTAACAGAGAAAAGAAAATAAGAGTTTGGATTCATTTGTTTCCCTCCCCTCAATTTCTTTTACTTTTTGTATGAAAATTTTCCAATTCTTTTTCCTATTCTACACAGTTGTTAAGCAATCTCTTGTTACATGTTCATATTTGATATTTAAATAAAGCTTTTCTTTTCAAGCATTATAATACAAAGTCTACTAGTCCCTCACCTTACATGTTGATAAGCAGAGTTAAAAAACAAACAAACAAACAAAAAGAAAGCTGATAGCACACTCTTTAGAATGGCTGCAACAAGCAAAAATATTTACTTTTTAATTTTCTTTCAGGAATATATCAAGCACTTATGAAACATGTGCTTCCCAGTTAATTCAGATCATGTTCTGTTTCCCCAAATGTGTATATCTTGTCAGCTCAAACACAAGTGGCCCCTGAATCTCAATCTCCACTCACCGCTCCTACTCATTAAAATTCTGGTGGGATGGTGAGAATGTAATAAAAAGATATATGTGAGCTTTATTTGCAAATATAAAAGCATGTCCCCACAGTATAGCAGAGAGAGAGAGAGAAAAAAAATTCAATTCAGTAGCTTTCCCATTCAAAGTTTGTTAATAGACGGGAAAGAAAATTCAACTCATAATACATGATGAGAACCTTTTTCACTGATTAACATTATACGAATAGTTTTGCGCGAAGTATTTGTGTGGGTAAATATTAGCATACAATTATTATTCACTCACTTGCTGATGACAGCACACTTTCCAGAAACAGCTGGGAAATGCAGAAGGAACAAGCTCACGAGTAAGCACCTACTGTGTGCTAGGAACTCCAAGTATATTTCCATTTAAGCTCCCTAAACATTTGAGAAGTATGCATCCATCACTTGTAGTACATAGATGAAGAAACTGATGCTCACGGAAACTAAGTAACTTGCTTAAGATGACACAAAAGAGGGAAGAAAAACCAGAATTCAGATCTGGGTTTGTCTGATTCCAGAGCACACGCTGATTTTTCTACATTGGGTTGCCACCTGGAAGTAATCTCTTAGTATTGAGAACCTTCCCCCAGAAAACAAGCATGTCACCTGAGCCCAACTAACCCAAAAGTATTCACCATCATTCTCCAAACACTTTTTTCCTGGCTTTCCCATTATTTTAACAAGTTATGTGAGTGGAAGAATAGAACAAATCACATCCTTTCTTTACAAAGGAATTTAGAGAACAAAACCCATCATTAATATTTCCCTCTTTCATCATCAACTTTCCTGTAATTCAGATAAGCAAAAACTCAGCCACCTAGATTTTTATAGCCGCATTGGCAAGAGTGTGAAGGATTCCAGCAGCAAACATACACGCAAGGTCAGGAAGTGCCAAAGCCACCAAGAGTACATGTGACTTCGGGGGTTGGGGGCGGGTGCGCCTGCCCACCCACCACAAATCTTAGCCATCTGGGCTGTGGAGAAAAAAAGGGAGGGGAGACATTTTGTGGCATTGCTCTGCACTTCCTCAGCTGTCCCTAACGGCAGCTCCAGATTAAAAAAAAAAAAAAAAAAAAAAAAAAAAGGGCTAGACTGGCATATCTGATTTTAAAAATATGTCCACAAATGAATATATAATAAGTTTAAAATATGGGGGGACTGGAAGGAAATACATCAAAAGATTAATAAAAGTTATCTCTGGATAGTGAGATGATCCATTTGCGAGCTCTGTGTTTTTCTAATTCTTCCAAAATTATCAGAAAAATATTATTTTTATATGAAAATAGTTCTATGTAACTATATGTAGTATATTATTTTAAATATTTCCGTTTTCAAACTTAAAAAAAACAGTTGCATCTAGAGGGTGGTAGCCTGACTATTTAGAATAACTGCCCTCCGTTAGGTCTCAGATAATTGAAGTAATACTCAGGTTTTAACGACTACCCACACAAACCACTTTGGATGTGCCCAAATTGCCTTGTTCTTGGTGGGTATCCAATGGGTCAGAAGATCTATTTAACTGGGTGCTTTGAATTGTTTGTGCCAGAAGTTTTCTTTTAGCTGGGGTCTCTTTCCTGTTTCATCATCAATTTTTAAGTTCCTAAAATACATCCAGTAAATTTACCAGTTTCCTTCATCTATGGTGCTGAAACTTAATAAATTGCTCTTTTTTCAGCTGGAATGTCACGATGTCCAGTTTATTCATTCATGGCCTTACCTGTGTGTCTCTGACAATATTACTACTTTGGCTTTCACAAGATTCATATTCCTGAACTATGGCTTATGGCTCAAATCCAGCAGCTCTCACACAGGGCACCTCCTTGAGTATTCATGGCAATTACTGATGCTTAAAGATGAAAGTCTTGGACCACAGCGTGCCATTTAATGTACTTCTGACCTTGCAGATCTGTGTGTGCTTAACTTCTCCACGTGGATCTCGCATCCTCCCAGGGTGCTACGCCGAATAAGAGATTATACATCAGGGGAATCACTTTGCAGTCACCGAGACAGTGTTTTGAAAACGAAGGAAGAATGCAAATGTGTAGAAACTACTGAAGAGATTTTACCAGCAGGTAGTTTATAAACTCAAAACCAGGAATATTGCCTCTAAGGATTGCAGCTTGACCAATTTTTTAAAGTGTATCTTTGTTATTTTTTTGTGATACTCTCTACCAACATTTAGCTTTCTTTCTTTCTTTCTTTCTTTCTTTCTTTTTTTTTAAATAGCTGGGTTACACATACCTAGAATCACAGAACAGTGGATCTGGAAGGGAAATTAGGGATCCTCAACTTCAACCTGTTCATGTTAAAGATTAGGAAAGCTGTGGATGTGAGGGGTCAGGTGATGTGATGGAGGCCTCACAGAATGAGTGGCAGAGAGGGCCCCAGAAATAGCTTACTCTGTTTTCCTATCATTTGTAGGTAGCAAAGTATATAATTACCACTTTTGTCATTAGACAGTTGTTACATAAAAGAGTAGTCTTGCAGGTAAAAATAATTCTAATAAGATATTCACTTACAATTAAATAATTCTAACAGTGTGAAGGTTCACTTATGATTTTTTTAAAAATTATCATGAAATAACAAACATGTAGCCATGTTGAGGTGGGAGAAAAGGGGTCCTTACGTCTAAACAGCAAGAGAAAAAACACACAAGAAGAGCCAATCTGTCACCACGAGAGCTGCACTGAGTCCTTCAATCTTGAGAATAAACATGGATAGAAGTTCCCTCTGAAAATGCAGTTATAGTGCTAAATGAATGACTTAAAGACACATCTTTCCTCTTTGTTTTGTGCCATGATCTGAGTGCCTTGAGAACTAGCTTTCATCCGGGCACGGTATGACATCATCTGATAAGTGTGATGCTCTATAGTCGTTGCCGGAATGGGCTAGGGTACAAAACAGAGAAACACACAGGCAGGAAGGAAGGCAGAGACCAGCGCTAATTTAAACATTCTATCCTGAATATTTCAGTTGCTCCATAAATGTTTAATACTTGGTGCCATATTACAGGATGTTCATAAGCACGCAGATATATAGATGAAAAGTAAAATAACATAAGCAAAACAAAGCTCATTCTCAAGAGGTGAGGATGGCTATGCTTTCTGTTGCTGGAGTCCCTTTACAACCACATCTCTTAGTGCAGCTGAAGACTTCCAGCATCAGAGACGATTTCTGGATTATGAGAACCTCTACTTTAGCCTTATCCCTCTATACTCAGAGCCACAGTGGCCTATCTGGCCTTCCCCCTCTGCCTATGACCCTGAGACCTTTGACTGGCACCTCTGAGCAGTGGTCTCAAGAGGACAGCCTTGAAAATATGACTCAATCCTCCATGACAGCGAGACCAGAAGATCCATGTAGAGCCTATGGCTGATCCAGAGGTTCTCCAAGTTGATGTTGCCATCCCATTTCTGCCTCTCTGTAATTTGTCTAAAGACTCACTGTGGTTTCACGGATATGATCTTGGATGTATAAAATGGGAAGTAGCTGCTAAAAGATGAGAAATTCCTGGCCTAAGTCAGTTCTAGTAATTTCATTCACTCATTAATTCGCTTGTTCATTCAAGAGATAGTTCCTGCATGCCTGCTGGGTGAGTGTGGTTACCTGTCCTCCAAAACCTCATAATCTACTAGGGAAAACCCACACAAACAATAAATAAATAAATAATAAAACACAATAAAACGATAGAGAGTTATGAGGCTTGAGGGGATCATTTATAGAGGTGGCACTGTCCTGAATCTAGAGTGAGGAGAAGGATTCAGGAGGCAGAAGGGAGGTCAGGCCGCACCCCATACTCATGAATATCTGATTAGTGTAGCTTTCAAGTATCACTGAACATCTTTGTCCTTTGCAAACAAAAAGCATTTTAATATCACAAATTCCTGAGTGCTAGGGAACTCAATCAACAACTGTAAAATGTTCTGAAAATATAAAATGCAACACAAGATCTAAAAGTCATTAGTAACAACAACCACAAACCCCCCCTCCTGCTTTATCCTGAAGTGAGCCTTTCAACCAGAGGGAAAAACACGAATTGCCTGAGGAAGCAGGGGTAGGAGATGTGAGGACTAAGATTCTGCTTTGAAAGCAGAAAGGGAAGAGTTGCCACCATTTTAACATTTAGTGACTAGCTTATTTATATCCCCCTTGGCCACAGTGACAAAAACACAGCTTTATTTCTAAAGACAACCACACGGGCCATTATTCAGCCAGCCTTCTCAACTGATGATGACGTGAACTGTGAATCCACATTTTTTCCTGTTAATAGACAACTGAAATGGAACAAATATCCTGAACTCACCCTGATCTCTTACCACTGAAGAGAGCAAACACAATACTCTATTCATTCTTTCATCCAAATTCAATCATTGACCCACACATTAGTGCACCATGGTGTTGTGCATTAAATTAGTTCTCATGAACTTCTCTCCAGAAGGGTGTATTAGTTGCCCGGAGCTGCCATAATAAACTACCACAAACTGGGCGGCCTAAAATAACAGAAATGCATTCTCTCACAGTTCTGGAAGTGAGGAGTCTGAAATCCAGGTGTCAAGGTGTCATTGGGAGTTGGTTCTTTCTGGAAGTTCTGAAGAAGAAACAGTTCCATGCCTCCTTCCTAACTTCTTGTGGTTACCAACATTTCTTGACATTCCCTGGCTTACAAACTCATCCCTCCCATCTCTGCTCCCATCTTCACGTGGCATTCCCCACTGTGTCTGTGTCTGTCTTTTCTCCTCTTCTTATTGAACACCAGTCAAACTGGATTAGGACCTACTCTAATCAAGTATGATCCCATCTTAACTTCATTACATCTGCAGAGACCCTATTTCCAAATAAAGTCATATTCACAGGTACTGGGTATTAGGACTTCCTCATATATTCGGGGAGATACAAACTCATGACACAGGGCATTTCACAGTTGTTTTATACTACTGCCTTCTTAACCAAGAAAGAGGCTCTCACTGGCGTCAAGGAGTTTACAGCCTAGAGACAGAGACCCATAAATCTGTCTTCCCCGCTCTTCCCATAGCTGCAGTTTTAGCTTTGTGGGTTTGGTGCTTATCACCTTATCACCCATCTCTGCCAGAAGACTGTAAGCTCCCAGAGCACAGGCAGCATCCATTTTCTGCTTCCCATTACATTCCCATCTTCTTGCACAGTACAAGATAAAGCTTTCAAGAAATAATCGTTGAATGAATGTATGGATAGATGAGTGAATTACCTAGATACAAGCAGAAATGAGAAAAGCCTATACAGGCAATAAAGGTACACACAATAGGCCAACAAGGAGGAATAGAGAGAAAGAAATAATTGATTCTGATTAGTAGGGATATAGAAGGTTTCATGAAAGAGGAGGCATTTGAGCTCAGCCTTGGAGGATCGGTAGGATTTTATAAATGAATAAGGAGTAAAATTTATTCCCTGCTGACCAAACAGTATGAGCAAAGGCCTGCAGACATAAAGTATGGTCTTCGGGAGAACAGTTAATAGCCCAGGCAAGCTGGAGCAAAGAGTATCTAAAGGGATTTAAAAACACTTTGGATGAAAAGGGGAAGAAAGGCAGCTCACAGAGGCCTATAAACTAGGCTATTCTGAGTGCAGTAAGAAGCCACTGAGCTTTGTGGAGAAGGGAAATGATTTGCTCCTACCTGTGCTTCAAAAGGAAAAAATATATAGGAATGGTTCATACATTGATCTTTTGTGTCCTCCTGCCTGAATGATAGTTCTTATATTACTATAAGGAGTATTTGCGTATTTTATATTTACCCATGCAACTACTATTTACTTGATTTGCCTAAGGAACTAAGAACTATATACAAGCGATTACATTTTATAATTACACAATTATATGATATATATCATATAAAATATATAATTATATGATATATATCATATAAAATATATAATTATATGATATATATCATATAAAATATATAATTATATGATATATATCATATAAAATATATAATTATATATCTTTTATAATTAAAAGATCGTATCTGAAAAGTACTTAAATAGGATAATATCACAGGTCCTAAATTTCTTCTCCAGAGAATGACCTGGAGTTTAAGGCCCAGGGGAAGATGATTAACTACCAAAGTAATAACAAGGACTTTCACCTGTAACAAAGCAGTTGTTCCGGGTCAGGCCAGGTTCTTTGGTTTAGGTTTGAGCATGGGAAGTCCACAGACCAAGTATATTAACAATCAAGGTGGTGCAAGACTACCATTTGTTGTTCTCTCCAGGAAGCACCAGGGACTCCATCACTCATCACAGGCATCTGGATAGCAGCCAAGCACCATGATAGTGGGATGTGGGAGAGACACTCCAGCTATCCATGGAGGACTGCTCAATGGCTGAAATGCTGCCAAATGGAGAGACATGTACTATGGTCTTGGTGCCACCAAAAGTCTTCGGTAATAATGCAACTATTCTTAGGAAGAAGTATTCAGTCACTCATCTGTAAAGGGATTCATTATATAGAACTGTTAACCAAGAGAAACAACTACCTCTTTGCCCGCTTAGGCAAATGGGAGACTGGGAATCTGGACAGAGCGTGAGTGAACAGAATGAAGATGACAAGAAAGGGAAAGAAAGCTCTTTTCACCCTTACGAACCCTATAAGTTAGGCCCCAGACTTTCTAGTTTACAGTCATCACTTTGTTATTTAGGTTATAAGACAATAGAGGGGTTAGGATTGTGTTTTTCTGTTCACATTGGTATCCAGGTCCTAGCACGTAGTTGTATCAGACAAATGTGTGCCCAAAAGGAGTGAGCTGCTAGGCAGCGTGTTCCTATTCCATGGCACTTTGAGTATGCTTCTTGGAACTTGAGAATATATTGAAATTGTGCCCATGTGTCTACCTTTCCCATGGGACAGTAACCATCCTAAGGAAAGGAAACGTGTGTGCTTATTACTACTATAGTGCTTGACATTTAGAAAGCATCTAATTCTTAAAGCTCAGGGGGCTCAAATAACTTACATGAAGTTAAATAGCTCATAAACAAGAGGCTTAGATTTGTACTAGGTCTGTCTCCACCCCAACCCTATGCTGCTTCTATACCTCAGTGTAGAAAGAAGGAGAGTCATACTATATAGTTTAGCCTGAACCTGGCCTATAGATTGAAATGTCTCTGGAAACAGGTTTGCTGCTGCTTTCCAGCCTTCTAAATCAGACAGTTGCATAATTATTTAACATGAGTGTTTCAATTATTTAATGCCTGATCAAAACACAGGCGTAACATAATTTAAACACAAGCCAAAGCATATACACCACAAAAAAATACTGAGTCCAAGTAATCATTTTCCAAAACATATTAAGGTTTTTATTTACTAATGGTCTTAAATTTCTGTTTAAAGAGAATAAGCTTGGTTGGCCCTAGAAAATCTTGGAGAAATTCAAAGCAAAATTTCTTAAGTTAATTCTTATTGTATACATAATCTAGCTCTTATAAGGAAATATTGTAAACCTGTTTAAACCTATCCTCCTAAAACCCCTAGACATGTTCTTACTCATAAAAGACAGTAGAATAAATCTTCAAAACCTAATTATTTTAAAACTGAATGCAGTTCTTTACATGGTCTATCGATTTTATCCTTTTGCCAAGATATCAAAATTTTTTTAATTGAAAAAAAGCAACTTTGAAAATGCACTAGGCTTAAACCTCCTTTTATAAACTCTCAAATTAACACATCTTAGTTTAAGCACTAATGAAACACATTTCATTCCAGTGGGATTCCAAAGATTAACAATGTATCAACACATATCCCAATGAGTGCAAAAGAAAATTTATCCTAGACTTAGTATTAAAAATTACATGCCGGCCAGCATGGTGGCTCATACCTGTAATCCCAGTGCTTTGAGAGGCTAAGGTGGGAGGATCACTTGAGGCCAGGAGTTCAAAACCAGCCTGGTCAAAATAGCAAGACCCTGTCTACATAAAACTTAAAATACATAAATAAAAAAAATGTAGCTGGGAAAGATGATTGCACCTATAGTCCTATTTACTTGGGACGCTAAAATGGGAAGATTTCTGGAGCCCGGGATTTCGAAGCTGCCGTGAGCTTTGATCCTGCTACTGTACTCTAGCCTGGGTGACAGAGGAAGACTCTGTCTCAAAATAAAATATAAAATAAAATTTAAAATTACATGCAAAAACACCAGAAATGAAATTCTATCTTGAGAAACGCTTTATCCTTTGTACTTTAGATTTTTTCCAGAATGGGCAACTTTCCATAGTTTTATAGAAAATGTTTATATTGTTGGGCAAAAATTCTGCAGTTAAGTTCTAACCACAGTCTGGAAGGAATTTAGCATGAAGACAAGTTAAAATTACAAAGAGTGTTTTTCCCCTTACTGATAAATTAACAAGTTTAACTACTACGGCTAATAAAACATGCCTTAACCATCCTTCCTTGGTATTTTTTAATAGCTTTGGGAAGATTTGGGGGAAAAAAAAAGAGTTTCAGAGCAACATATTCATTGAGGTTAGCAGGTTGGCTAGGAGGTTAGTTGACCGGGTAACTGGCTGACCCGACAGACAAATTTTAAACATTTATTTTGCATAATTGAAGCAATAAAATGGATTTATGAGCAGTTGATTAGAGAATCAAGTTTGTTAAAATTCCTTTATAGCCTTACGTTTCTCAAGGCATTCAACCAAAAGGAACGAGACCTTTTTAAGGTACCAGAAATTAAGAAGGAAAATGCCCTGAAGAGACTGAGGTATTCTCCAAAAGGTCATAACCTTGTTGTATATCAAATCATTCTAATAGATATTCCAATGTTGCCTTCCAGAAGCATTCATCTGAGAAGACAGGATGTCTTAAGTACCTCCTTACAGGAAGGGTCAGTCTCTAAACACTGAAATTTAGAGCATCAGCCCTCACCCAATCTTGGAGGTTAGCTAAAAGCATCTTGAAGGATGACCCCGAAAGCGTAGGAGAGGAGAGTTTAATCTGTGGCTATTCAATATGCACCTGACTGCTCATGCCTGCAAAATAACCCATTTCTGGAGAAAGTTGTATAGCCTCTTCCATTTGCTCTCTTATAATTGATCAAGCCAGAGGAAAGGGGGTCCTCCATGGTTCTTCTGGACCCTTCCACGTTGGCCTATTATATTTCAGCAGTTTACCTCTTCTTTAATTAGCAGGCATAGCTCAAAGAACATAGACATTTTGATTTAAATTTTCTAATTTAGTACCCATGATGATATTCTAATGTGTCTTGCCCTCTGCCTATAAATTGACTAATAAAATTAAATAAATTGTTACTAGGGGCTTCACTAAAATGGTCTACAAATAAAAGATTACATCCAGAAGATAAAAAGAAAATACACAGGAAAATGACCCAGGAAAAAAGCTGACCTGGTCTGTCAATTTGCTCAGGTTGAAAATATGTGGAAAGAAATGTAATTGTGTTTTATGACACTTAAAGGGAAAAAGTACTTCTGATTTCAGTACTATCTAGAGGATAAAGTCACTACTTGATTCTTTGTTTCTCCAAGGTAAGAGTTTCCCATCATCAAGATGTCTTTCTCAAATACATGATTTATGGAAAAAAACAAAAAATGTTCAATGAGCATCTATGGATTTTGATTCAGAAACAAACAAACTTGCTAAATGGTCTTCTAACAAAATACTAATAATCCCATGTGGGCATACTTCACGCAGAGTAATGCCATTTGGCCCTCATATTTCTTAGAAAGCTTTTGCTGCATTCACATGACTTTCCAAAAGATAGGCAAGCAAAGAGCACTGTAAAGAGGCTGTGTCTGAGAGAAAACACATAGTTGGCTATTAATAGTCCCACTCCTGCTGGCTTGCCTAAACACAGGACTGGCTGTATTTCCCCATCCCAGCATAGAGGAACAATGTTACCCTGCCAATCAAATGCAGCATACTCCAACCTTAGGCCTTTGCAACGAAGCAGGGTGTCGGGTGGAAGACCAGTAGCTCAGAGGCTGTGACATCTGTAACTAGGATAACTCCAATTAAAAGTAGGGGGAAAAAATAATTTTTAAAACCTTATATAGTAATGAACTGGAAGGACGGAGAACAACGATTTCTTTAGCAACAGCTGTGCAGACTGATTTCTTTGAAAATCATGCATATACTTTCAAAAGCACTCAATCACAACTGCTGCCCTAACACTGGCAAATCCAAGAAATTCAAGACATGTAATCAAAAATAGATTTTCCCTTAAATTCCAAGGTCAAAGGCAGCATCTGTTGTTTCAGAGAACAAGAAGGACTTTCTTTTGGCTAATTAACTTATTGCGGTTTTCTAGCAGAAAAAAAAAAGTAAACCAAAATTGTCTAAATGTTTCTTCATCGTCTTAGGTCTTAGGTAATGCAAAACAGAAAACTGTATAAAGAGCATAAACATCCATTGTTTTGATATTTGAGTTGCACAGATAAAAGGCAGGCCACGCTGTAATTTTTAAAGCTGACAGGAAAATTCATTTTTATACCAAGTCCCCCTCATGCCATTTGGCTGTTAAATTATTCAAGGAATTCTCTGCTTATAAAGATTAATAATATCAACCCAAGCCATTTCTGAAAAGTACTTTCACCTCGTGTAGGAGACAGATGGACTACAGGAAAACAGCCTATTATGTTACAGGCAGACAAAAAGATTTCAGATTACCAGATTAACACACCAGGCGGGAAGGGAATGATAGAAAGTAGCGAGATATGAAATAACTGACAAATAGAACCAAATATCCCTCAGAGCCACTATTTTAAAAATAAATATAGTTTGGAGCCCATTGTAATTCAATTTTACCTGTTTCACTCCCAAACCCAGCTAATTAGCATAAATGTCAGTTCCAATTTAACCAAAGACTTTGAAAATCTGGTGGAACCTTATTAAAACACATTGGTATCAGGGGACAAAGACAGCACCTGCTTTCAAGGTCTTTTGTGTTTTAGTCAGAAATGTATTCTAAAACTCTGGGTATATGGGCTGAATCCAGAGTTTAGATTGTGGGATTTTATTGTACATTTGCATTATTTTAAATATCAACATCCCTGGAGAAGCTATTTTTACTCCTACAAAACCTAAACACTTCCTTATTTAGCAATGCTCTCATAGAGAAGGGATTTTCCAAAAGCTGTATTTCACTAAGGGTCAATATGAAAAAATTACAATGTCATTAAAATCACAGATTTTTTGTAGATTCACAGAAGCAGGCTCAGTGTTTTCTTTCAATAAATATCTTTTTTTTAGTTCAATACATTACTAATTAATTTTAATTTCACAAATAGTGAAATTATCTGAGCAAGAATCATTCTCATTTAAAATTGTCAAATAAGTCAGAAAAAGATCAATATCTCCCCTGCTTCAAAAATGACACTCCCAATTTTCACAGGTAACCACTGTTAACATTTAGTAAATACCTTTCAGAACCTTTTACAAGCATATATAAAGTACATCATTTTTGTAGTATAATGTGTTTTCTTTAAAAAAATAACTGGGACCATACTGTATTTTCTACAATTTCCTTTGATCATTCCAAATTGCTATGAAAATATGTCACACGTAACTTGAAAACTTGGTCTACTTCTACCATATACGCACATATGCAGGTAGGCAAACATACAGAAAAACACAAAATGGTGTAAAAATAAGCCACTAAGAAAAGGCTCTATGTCCCTCATTTCAGTGCTCAGGAAAGCTATAAGGCTGATAAAATGAAAGTGCCCCCTTTCCTCACCAAAGCTTTGGCTTTGTTATTAGTGTTTTTTTTGTTGTTGTTATTATTGTTGTTTTCTTTTCTTTTTTTTTTTTTTTTTAAGTGCAAGGTTGTGAAACTCTGCCAAGTGGTTCAAATCAGATCCACTACCTGCTTTTGTATAGCCAGTGAGTTAAGAATTTTTTTACACTGGTAAGTGTTTGGGGAGAAAACGTTTTAAAAGAACAGAATTTCATGATATGGGAAAGTTGTATGAAATTTACATTTTGGTGTCCATAAATGAAGTTTAATTGGAACACAGCCATTCTCATTCCTTTGTGTATTGTCTGTGGCAGCTTTTGTGCTACAAGAGCGGTAGTTGATTAGTTGTGACAAAGACCGTATTTCTAGAAAGATTGAAATATCTACTCTCTAGGCCCTTATCAAAAATGTTTGCCAATATCTGTTTTAGCACATGAAATTTATTTTCCTAACATCTTACTTGCAAAGTCTTTCTTCATATTCCATGTTGACACTCAGTGGGTAAAGATGACAGAAGTATGCTGGGGGGCAGGAGTAGAAAATGGTCCCTTCACATAACCCAACACATAGGTAACTTACGTATGCCCCTCCTAGACCTTCAGAAAACTCTATCAGGCTTAAAAATTACTTGTAATGTATTGCCATAAGAGTGATTTGTGGATTACACCGCATGGATTACGTTGCCCTAGAATCTAATTCATTCATCTATCTGGTGAGCACCTACTGTGTCCGAGGTCAGTGTTGGGCACTGACAATTTCGGGGTCAAGAAAATGGACATCATCTCTGCCCTCCAGAACTCCCACCCCAATATGTTCATTACAATTTCGCGAACCTATGAAAGTACATATCAGGGGAACTAAACACAGTCTGAAGGGTGGATGAGATTAGAGAAGATCTGAAGTAATTTCAGTATCATCAGATTGAAAATTCTTTAAAAATAAACAGTGTGAAGATACTGCACAGGAATCCAAGTGAGAATGACAGAAACTGACACCACCTGACTGTCTCTGTCTTCAAACTCTGCTCTTCATAAGCTATGATCTAGAGCAAAGGGAGCATTTTAGCCTCTGATTAAGATGGTATCTCCTTCCAGTTAATGTCAAATGGTTAGTGCTTGGTACCATCAATAGATTGAGAGTTTAAATTTGATTTTCTTAGTGTTTCTAATCCAACTATTATACCCAAAACCCCTCCACAGAAAACAGAAATGAAACTGCCAATCCCTACAGTAGCTCCAGTAAATATCCATTGGCATTTTAAAAAACAAAACGAAAACACCCTGCCCATGCTGCAATGTAATCCCAGTAGCTACTGGCAGTGACAGCTGGTCATTCCCAAGCAGAACGTCACCCAAATAAAATGTGAAAGAGAGGAGGGAGGAAGGGCAAAACCAAGATTTCAGCAATATTCTGCAATCCAGGAACCTATGGAGCATTTGGGTAAAGCTCTAGTAACTTCAAGGCTCTGTGCTTTTAAGGCTTGAATTCTTTTGAGTAACTGAACTCTGTGAGGACATTTAAATTGGGTCAGAGTCTCTCACTCTTACAGGCTTCCTTGGTATCCGATGTTCCTGTTGACTTCATAGAGAACTAAACAAGCATAAAAGGTCTCTAGAGAGAAGCAGCAACTGGAATCTAGGACAGAAAGAACAAAATGACTTTACATGGCTGCTACTAGGTTTCTGTTATTTTCATACAAATGGCTGAGTGAGCCCTGTTGTATCTGACACTATCTGCACTGGTTTCTCATTAGAACCTGAGCTGGCGAGGGTCAGGTGTTCTTGTTCATCTAATTGTTGGTAATTAGATGGGCCACCCTTACCTACACAAAGAACTCTGAGAACTAAAAAGGTTCTATTATTCACCAAATACAAAAAACCATAGAAGAGGACTGCAGGTAGCTAAGCTTTCGAAAATGTCAGTTTTGTTGTTATTGTTGTTGTTTTTTACCCACACATATCCAAATATCATCTAGCTCCAAAAGGAAAGATTTACGTAGTCGTCAGAAAGAGACCAGTTTGTTAAAGAGAAGAACTCAGGGCCGGGCGCGGTGGCTCACGCCTGTAATCCCAGCACTTTGAGAGGCCAAGGCGGGCGGATCACGAGGTCAGGAGATCGAGACCATCCTGGCTAACATGGTGAAACCCCGTCTCTACTAAAAAAAATACAAACAATTAGCTGGGTATGCTGGCGGGTGCCTGTAGTCCCAGCTACTCGGGAGGCTGAGGCAGGAGAATGGCGTGAATCCAGGAGGCGGAGCTTGCAATGAGCTGAGATGGCGCCACTGCACTTCAGCCTGGGCAACAGAGCCAGACTGTCTCAAAATAAATAAATAAATAAATAAATAAAACAAAAGAGAAGAACTCAGATTGGCTGGTGCTGTTTCTAACAGGAAAGCCTTTCTCTCTGCAAACAGGACAGAGACCAGGAAGACAAACACCAACAGAGGAGAAAGGAGAGGACATCCAAAAGTGGAGTGGCAATTATAAAGTAATGATGGTTTTATAAACAGAGACCAAAGGCAAAATGCCTTTGCTGACTAGTGGCTACGTCTAGGGATTAAGAAGCTCTGGACATCTGAGTAGCCTCCAAATATCCCTTTGCCATAGTCACATGAGTTGTGGCTAATAAGAACTAATTAACAAGTAAAACTTCAGGAAACACAATTAAATTTTAGATAAAGTTAGTATGTCCTGTAACTATTATGTAATATGGAACATACTTATAATGAGTATAATTATCTGTTATCTGAAATTCAAATGTTCATTCTTAATTCTAAATTCAACTTAATAAAATATTACATACTTTTAGTTATGGAACACACTTATCCTTAAATGTTATTGTTTATCTGAAATTTAAATTTCATTGAGGGTGTTGTATTTTATCTGGCAACTTTAATTGTGGCCAGTACAAACAGCCAAGGTCAGTAAACTATCAAGAATTTCGGGGAGCCGATAACAGTTTTCTGATATGCCAGAGGACCACTCTGGAAAGGGTTTATTTGGGGATTTGATTCATTAATTGATGTTTGCACAAGGGCTAGGAGGTACATAGTACTCGGGGGAACCTGCTTCTACCTCTTGAATGAAAAAGAGACAAACTTTGCTGACATCAGGGACTTTTGTCAGAAAACAAGTCCCAGAGCCCTTGCAGAATTGTGCCCACTCTTCTCGAGCCTCATCTGCTCTATCCAGAATTCATAACAACTGAGGTCCATAATGATGCCCTTGGGTCTTCGTGGGTTCAAATTTGTTTAGAAGTGTTCACTAAGACAGCATGTTATGTGGCAGGGAAGAGGAGAATTGGAAATGTTTCCAATATCAAGATTATATATTTCAAGCCCCTAAAAATTACCCCACCCAGAACCTTGAATAGAAAAAGAGGAAAGTTACCAAAAGTGATCAGTAAAACCAAGAGGAAAACTACAAAGGCATTGAATCAACCATTGGTTTTAAATGTTTTTAAAATTTGTTAGTGTATTTCTTTGGCTTTATTATGTAGTATATACAAAAATAATTGTTAATCTTTGAATTGCCTTTATCTTTCAAGATACTGATTCTCGTTACAGAGTATTATAGACAGACACACAAAAGCAGCAGCCATTTAACCTAAAACGACAGAAGCGTATATAACAAGTGTCCTGAAAGGCTTATGTGCATTTCCTTCTCCCACAAGAAAAAAAAAGAAAAAAACTCCCACTGAGGTTCCCTAATTACTTAGATTTTGATAAAATGATAATCAGCAGGTAAAATCTATCCCAGTGATTCTCAAACATTGGTATGCATCAGAATCACCTGGTGGGCTGCAAAGTTTTATCTAAAATTTAAATCTAACAGTTTGTCCTGAAACATAGATTGCTGCACCAGAATTTCTAAATCTGTAGGTCTGGGATACAGCCTAACAATTCACTTAAAAAAAAAATTCCAGATAATGCAAATGCTTCTAGTCTGGAAATCATCCTTTGAGAAACACCAGTCTGTGCAATTATAGGTAATAATATTGTTTAATTTATTTGTTCACATTGAGTATTTAGGATTTGTGCTACCATAGGAGCAAACTACCTCTGCCCTTGAGGGTGCTCTTCTTAGGATTCATACCTAGTCTGCTTATATTTTTAGACTGTCCAGAAAGTCCCCAACTCACAAGCACCATACTTAGAATCATCTACTCCTACAGGATGCCTACCCTACTCTGCCCCTGAAAACCCCTGCTGCCAATAATGCAAGAAGCATTGTAAAACTGTTAAATTTTTAGAGAATCTATGGTAAAGAAAAGACAAAAGCTAAGCTATCCCTGGGATGAGACTCCTACTTTAAGATAAAAATGATTTCTGGGACAATTAGGGGGTCTGTTATGCAATTATACCTCAGTGTGACTTAGTTCAACCAAACTGGTTCTTCCTCATGCTAAGCTGAACCAGGGTTGCAGAGAGGTAAATGATCCTGAGTATGAAGTGGCTTGTAGTATCAGGCAGACTCAAGTGGAAAAACACTGGTGACCTGCAAAAAATTGCATCAGGCAGTGCACTATGGGTTACAATTGTAGAGCCAATGCCATGTGGGTGTTCACCAACTATTTCTCTTGCCTCCTGAGCACACAGGAGAGCTACCTTTCCCGGTCCCCTCATGTCTAGGAGGGACCAAGGGACTGGTTCTACCCAATAGCCTATGGGCTGGAGGGCTGGACAGTGCTATGCCTGGCCGCTAAAACACCCCACAAAGATGGATACGCTCTCTCTTCAGCTGACTCTGGAGGCAACTCTGAGGAGGCCCTAGGGGACACAGTGTGACTGGACAAAAGTTACCAGGATGCCCGTGGCATTGCCTGGAGGAAAGCTGCTCATCCAGAACAGTAGCTCTGGAGTCTGCAGGAGAAAGCCACAGACCACAAAATATTAAACCACTGAGTTTTGGTGGGCGGGGTGGGAGCAAAGGGGGGTGTGTAATGTGTTACCGCAGCATAGCCTAGCCTTCCTCAACTAATATAGCTGCATAAAGGAAGGTGTAACGGGTGCCCCTTCATCATCTTAGCCAGACCAAACTGTTGCTCCACTCCATTGTTCTATATTACATAGAGCCAATATCAACTTTATACCAGATCTGTGGCTCCCAAACCTGGCTCATAAAAAAAAAAAAAAAAAAAAAAAAAAAAAAATCACTTGTTTGGAAAAAGAACCCTGAACCCTATTTCAGACCTACTGAATCAGAATCTCCAAGACTCAGGCCAGGCCACTTCTTAGACAAACTGCATGTTATAAACTAAATGTCTGTGTCTGCACCCCAAAATTCTTACATTGAAATCCTAATTCCCAACCTGTTGGTATTAGGAGATGCGGCCTTTGGGAGATGATTAGGTCACAAAGGCTCTGCCCTCATAGGATTAGTGCACTTATAAAATAGGTCCCAGAGAAGCCATTACCCTTGTGAGGACACAGTGAGAAGACTATGAATCGGATCATCTATGAACCAGGAGGCAGACCCTTACCAGACACTGAATCTGCTGGAGGCTTGATCTTGGACTCACCAGGCTCCAGACCTGTGGCAAGTAAGGGTTTGTTATTCAAACCACCCAGTTCATGATATTTTTGTTGCAGCAGCCCAGATGACTGGGACACTGCAGATTCGCCTGCGTGGGGCTACCATGAAAAGTCCCTTTCAAAGGACCAGTTTGCCCCTATCCAGAGACTGGGTGATATTTCTGCAGACACACAGTTTAGGTTATTGTGGTAGGTTTACTAATCCTTACCAAATTATTTTAAAGTGAGGATTTTAAATTATGTTTTGGCAGGAATCAAATATTCAAGTGTAATGGGTTTAATAAATTTAAAAGCTTCTCTTTTAAGATGACGCAATAATTGGCATAAAGCCGAATGCCTGAAATACCTACCAGTGAGAAGGATTTAAATGTTCAATTAAAATGATTTGAGATTTATTGCTTGTGAGGAAGATATTTAAATATGTAAATGAAACTGGCTCCCCACCCTCTCCAGTGTGGGGGTGGATTCTGCCTGCCTTTCCTCATGCCCTCTAAGGGAGTCTCTCTGCCCCTTGAGGACAAAGGCATTCAAATGACAGAGCTGGTGGCTGTGGCAGGAAGTCACTAAGGAAACAATGGAGGGCGCTGTGGAGATGGCCACTTCCTTCTTCCTCAAACACAGCAACCCCACCCACCTCAGGGCCTTTGTACTTGTTATTTCTGTAATCTTCATCCAGATGTCTGAGAGACCTGCTCCTGCACTTTCCTTATGAAATTTCTGCTCAAATTTCATACTATTCTTGATGCCTTCTCTGAAGCAAGAATCCCTTGCTATATACACACACACACATACACACACTCCTTACACCCTATTTTATTTTTCTCTGTAGTAGCTTCACTATCTGACACGTTAACTATTACTTATTTGTGTATTTGCTGTTTCCTATACTCGTTCATAATGCCTGGTCCCTACTAAGTGCTCAAATAAATGTTATTATCATTTTAAAAAATTATTTAATACCATGGTAAGTATTTTTCATTGTCTCATGAGGCAATTAAGATTTGGCAATATTACTTCAGTTTAATTATTTCCCACTAATATATATCAAAAATATATATTTTTAAATCAAAAGAATGTAATTGAAAACAGCAGGGCCTCCAGATAGAGAAATGTGTCCAAACTGCAGATCTTTTCTAATGAGCTGTGTGTCCTTGGGTCATTTACCTTAAACTCTGTGAGCTTCAGTTCCCTCACATATAAAATGAGCATAAAAATTCCAGCTTTCAGGGTTGTTGTGAAAATGATACATGAAAAAATTAAATCCCTAAGCACATAGTGTGCCCCACTGATATTCTAAAGAAGTAGATGGCAAAATAAGGAAAATAAGAGAATAAATGCCTTTTTATTTATGCCAGTCATTAGCTAACAATCAACCACTGTGAATGAAAAAAGCCTAGTAAAGTCAATAAAATGTGAAGTGAAGCCTAATTCATTTTTACAATATGACCTACTTTCTGCTATTTTTGATTCACATGAACAACTGAAGTTGCAAGGAGCTGATCCTGCAAAGACTTCATTAAAAGCATATTCTTTTCTTTTCTTTATGGCTTCCAGCTTTGAGGGATGCGAAAACAGATTTTTCACTTACAAGCCTCCTTTGAAAGAACCCTGGCACTAATCTTACAGTACGACTTTGAAAATCTGTGCAATGTCAAAGGTTGTCACAGATGGGGGAAAGGAGGGAGGACCTGAAGGAAAGCGGTTTTTAATTCTACTCAATTATGCAACTTCCATTAGGCAGTTCTGACTGTCCTAAATAGATTATTCAGATCTTAACATTTGAAGGTTTGCAAAAATAAAATTCTGAATGATCTTCTTCCTTCGATAGACCTAGGTATAGGCTCTGTGGAGAAGGCCTAGCTGTGCTGGTTTTTCATCTGGGAAATGCGCTTATTAGATACTGACCCCAAATCAGTCAAGTGTCATTGAGTCTTAGACAGCAAAATAGCTGAAAGAAAAAAAATATTTTCGGCTGCTTTGGAATACCTTTGTAAAGGCCATTGTCTTTTCTTTCATGGACTACAGTATTCTTTAACCAACTTAATCTACCTGCTAACAAAGATAGAAGAAGGAAGGCTTATTTTCCCATAAGGCTAAACAAAGATTAATGATAGCCAACCAAATTGTCTCTTAATTTTCTTTTCTTCTCCCTCTCCAGCTGGCCTTCTAGAGATAGAGTGTATAGATTTTTCTCTTAGTTAAGAACATTTACTTAGAAAGCAGCAGAATACTAATAACAAAAGAGTAGGGGGTTGTTTTGCCCTACACATCACAGGAATTCTGCCTTGTAAGCTGGAGGAGGTATAGGGGCATTTTATTGTTGGGGGATTCTTAACCAGGCAGATGGGGAACCTAGCGGCCAAAAACCTTCTTGGGTGAATCTTACATATGATCCTTCTGTTCCCACTATATCCTCCAAACCCAACCCCAATGAGAACCACTACTCTGCCCTTCAGACCCTGACCTACCTTTCGAATTATGATTGTAGCAAACCAATTTGTCATGCCATGTTAATCTATTCTTACCCTACGACCCCGAATTAAAACACTCCCAGGGGCCCCACCCAAAGAAGAGTAAATGCCAAGTGAGTGGATGGAACAGGTCCGTTTGACCTCATTTCAAAATATAGGGGAAAAAGACATGGATGGTCCTCCCACAAAATAACACCACCACGAGTTATAGAGGTGCCCATTTCGCTTCTGTGACAAAATTTTCAAATTGAACAATCTAAGCCTTTGAAATCCTCACATGAAAACAAGATTTTGTGATGCTCTGAAACAGCAGCACATGTTCTGATCCCTTGCTGGGTGGGAAGCACTGGGGGTGGTTAATGAGTTCTCACACCCTCTGGTGAACCAGCTCCTTTCATTTCTGAGTGAAGAAAGGGGCCCTGACAGTGCGCTACTCCATAAATTCAAAAACAGGCCACTTTCTACCCCAGATCCACAGCCACTCCCTGGCCCTTTCCTAAAGGGTTCCCAATTAGGAATATGGCAAAGAGAGCCCTGTAAATACCAGTTGCTGTCATTTCTTAATATTTTCTGTGATGGCTTGACTTGCTAAAATGACAAGGTGTATTATTTTTAGCTTCCAGTTTTGGCGAGTTGATCAGTCAAAACAAAGTATTAAAATAGCATCTACTTGGTAAATTCAATTTCAGATGACTGCATCTAAAACTCATATCCATTATAGACTCATATAAAACTGACTTATATGGCTAAGGAAGTCTGAGAAGGAATAACTAAATATATAGCTCAAGGAGGAAAGATGAATAACTTCTTTGGTCTCAAATACAAGTCTATTTTGGCATCAAATCCAAAAGCAAGCCTATGATAAGCAATGGATTCATTTAAATCACTTTAGGACAAATGATTTAAAGAGGGTTTTCTAACGCTCCAGTGTTCCATCCAGGATGTGTGAAATGCATGAGATCTCAGTTAAATGTAGCATTTTTAATAAATATAGTCTAAGTCACACGGGCCTTTTTGATAATGTAATTTTTTTCTTTGAACGCCTCTTTTACAATATACCTAAATGACTATGAAAAGCTATCTCGTGATAATATATGCTAGAAAACCCCATTTTATATTATTTTTAAAGTAACTTATTCTAATTTTTAAAAGTAATAAAAGTGTAGGGGAATCTGGATAGGTAACTGCAACTCACTACTATCTTTGCAACTTTTGTATTTAATTTAATGTAAATTAATCTAAAATTAAAAGTTATTTTTTTAAAAAGCAATATTTGTTTTTACTGTAGACTATTTGGAAAAGTATAGAGAAGACGGAAAATCACCTATAAAAATAGGCATACCTATATCTAACTGTGTGTATATGAGTAATACATCCTATCATCTTTTGATTATATGGTATTTCCCCTACCATTAAAAATTCTTCATAAACTTTGTTTTAAAAGGCCACTTATCATTACATCATATAGCTAGCCCAAAATTTGTTTAATCATTTTCCTACGTGGAACATTTAACTTGTTTACTGTTTTTGGCTATTGGAATTAGTTTTACAAACAATATAATTGTGCATAAAGCCTTTTCATATTTCTCATTATTTCCTCAGAGATGGATGAACATTTTTAGGCATAGCCAAACTTCTTTCCAGAAAATTAGCCTTTTCTTAAAGAGCATGCATCACCCAACCTCAGCTCGCAGTGCCACCATTTATGACAACCTTCCAAAATGGCCGGAACGCTGCCAGCTTCACACACCACGGCACTTCCTGGGAAGAACCTCAGGACAGAATATCTGCTGTTGAGTCAGGGCTGCTATAGCCAGAGAAAGGTGTGAGATGTGTAACTGTCTCCAGGTAATCCTTCTGCCAGCCAACTACCTCCTGATTCAGCTATAACCTGAAGGCCAGGTGCATTCACCCAAACAAAACCCACAGAAATCAGAGGAAGGGTGACTGAGGATAAGAAAGGCTAGACACATAAAAGAATGATGTGAAATTTAGCTTTTACCAAGAACTGAAGTGTTATATTTGGCCGGAGATTATTCCCAGCAAAGGAAACACAAAGATGCTTGGGTATTATCTATACTAAAACTGGGAAAACCTCAGCTGACCCTATAAGTTACTTGAAAATTTGGGGACATTTTTGTCAGAACGACAGAAAAGCAATATTGGATGGGACTAGGGGGTGGAAATGCTAGAAATCTGTGATATACAGTGAGTGCCACAAAAAGAAAAATTATTTTGCCCCAAATGCCAAAAGCACAGTGATGTTCTTTGATGTTACAGCCACAACTCTTAGGGAAGAGGCCCCAGTTGATGGCCTTCGAACTATATTCTGCTTGAAAATATTTTGTTTGATCCTAATAGTTGGTGTTGGGGGTGGGAGGGAGTGTGTGTGTGTGTCTCTTTTTAATTTTAAATATGAATATTTTGGAACTTTTACATAAAGTCTAGCTTTTCTAAAAAAAAGAAGAAGAATCTAAGATCTGACAACAGGCCGGGCGCAGTGGTTCACACCTATAATCCCAGCACTTTGGTAGGCTGAGGTGGGCAGATCACCTGAGGTTAGGAGTTCAAGACCAGCCTGGCCAACATGATGAAACCCCGTCTCTACTAAAAAGTACAAAAATTAGCCGGACGTGGTGGCAGCCACCTGTAATCCCAGCTACTCAGGAGGCTGAGGCAGAAGAATCGCTTGAACCTGGGAGGCAGAGGTTGCAGGGAGGCAGAGGTTGCAGCGAGCCAAGATCGCACCACTGCACTCCAACCTGGGCGAAACAGAGACTCAGATGTCTCAAAAAGAAAGAAAAAAAAAAAAAAAAAAAACCTACAACACTGGATCCCCATTCCCACGGCAATAATTGGAAAATGAGGAGTGGCTGTCCCCTTTGGGCTGAGCAAACTGGCCATTTCACTCATGAGAATTACATGCCTGGCCCTCTGGCCATCAGTTTGCAACCCCTATCCTACTACAAGGTCTTTCAAAGATTTTAGCAAGGCCCCAGATAGTAACCTTTCCCTTTCCCCATCGTGCTCAGCACTCAGTTACTCGACAGATACAGCACAGGGAGCGCCTCCCGCCAAAGGCAGTTTTTTTCTCCAACTGCGTATTTGTCTTTTAATCATCATTTCCTTTCCTTCCCTGGCCAACCACACTGGACAACCCAGGAGCCTGTTCCAGGAGCTGAGAGCAAGTCTTCAAGTACCAGTGCCTTGTTTCTTCACCAGCTCTCCCACCACTGTTATCATCACCCCTCCTAAACCACCTCCCACCAACAAAAGTATCTGACTGAGGGGTGGGAAGTGTCAAGTACAGCACTGGACAGTGGGTGGGGCTGATCACAATGACTGTGCACCAGACACCAGGGTGCTTGTCCTAGAACAAATTAAAATGGAAAGAAGGGTTTTAAGAACTGGAAGAATAATGTGAGATTTGGCTTTTAGGAAAATCACCCAAGTAGCCTGCCTGTTTGCCCTTGCTCTCTCTCGCTCTCTCCTCTCTGTTCACACACACATACACAATCCTCTGCACTGTGACCGTAGAAACTGGAAGGCGCCTTCCTGAGGATATGGAGTGAGTGGAACAGAATGTTGGAAAAGATGCCTGGGAGATGGAGGAGAATGACAGAGAAGAGAGGGCAGCACAGAAAGCATCTTCCGGGAGGACTGGTGGCCATCAGAGACCTGCGAGGACCTAGAGCTGATTCATGGCCACATTAGGGCATCCAGCAATGGCTTGCCCTGCCAGGCTCTCAAAAACCTGGCACTCAGGAGCAGCATGGAGGAGCCTTCTAAAAATAGTCTAGAATCAAGCTACCTTCTGGCTCATTCCGTTTTCCTTCTTTTAAAGATTAACTAACCTCAGGCTGTGCCAAAAAAGACTAGAGGGGGAGAAAAAAGACTCATGAAGTCTTGAACAGGTGCTACTGTTTATTCACCCAAGTCTGACATCACCACATTGTTTCTAGGGACTACAGCAAGTTTCTGGGCTTCAAACACTCCAGTAATTTCCTTAGGGAAAAGCAGAGTATGAAAGGAAGGTAGCTTGTATTAAATTTAAAAACTTGAATCCTGTATAGTTGATCTTTATAAGTTTCTTTTTTTTTTTTTTACCATAAACTGTGCCAATCCCTTTGATGACAGAATCTATTATTCTACTAGCGCTTACAACAGATCACTGTCATTTGAAGTGACTTTCAGAGTCTTCAGAGATACAAATAAACAATGCACCCTTCCTTCCCCAACTGCCAAAAAAAAAAAAAAAAAATTGTCTCCTCCTGAAAACCAATCACTAGCAACCTTCTATTAGCTTGGAGAATCTTTTTAATGCAAAAGGGTCTGGAACTAAAAGTGATCAGGGCAAGGATCTCATTTTATTCATATTTCTATCCCCAGGGATAAGCACAGTGCCTGGTAGACTGTTTGCGTGCAAGAAAATTTTGTTGAAAGGCTGGACAAATAAAAGAAAATGCATAGGTTGTTTATTAATTTAGTAATGCAATTTCCAAATTTTGTTTTTTCTTGTTGAGGTATAATCTATGTTAAAATTCACCCATCTTAAATGTACAGTTTGATGAATTTTAACAAATGTATACAGTCACATAACCACCACAATTAATCCTAAAAAGTTCTCTCATGCCCCTTTGTAGTCACATCACCTCCCCATAATCCTAGTTCATTGATCTGTTCTCCATCCCTATAGTTTTGCCTTTTCTGAAATGTGATATTAATGGGATCACAGTACACAGCCTTTTGAGGCTGGCTTCTTTCACTTAGCATAACAATTTTGGGATTCATTCATGCTGTTGCATGTATCAGTAGCTCATTCATTTTTATTGTTTAGTCGTATTCTGCTATATGGATGTGGCAAGATTTGTTTTTCCATTTTCCATTTGATAAGTATGTAGATCATTTCCCACTTTTGGCTATTATGACTAAAGCTCCTATGACCATTCAATACAGATCTTGGTACTGGCGTGTGTTTTATTTCTCCTGGGTAAATACCTGCAAGTAGATTTGCCAGGTCATCTGGTAGGTGTATAAATAACCATAAGAAACTATGAAAGTGCTTTCTAAAGTGGCACTTTAGAATGTATCATTTTACATTCCTATCAGCAAGGTATGAAAGTTCCGGTTGCTTCATAACATTGGCAACAATTGATATTGTCAGTCTTTTTAACTTTAGTCATACAGTGCGTAGTGTATCTCGTTGCAATTTTAATTTGCATTTGCCTGATGACCGATGTTAAGTATCTTTACATATTCATACAGCCCCTTTACAGGCCAATCAGATAGCTTCTTTGGTGAACTGAGTATCTAGTAATGGAAATAAAATCTACATTACTCATTTAAATTTCTCCAACATATTTTGACTGATATCCGTTAATAACCTTGTCAAAACTAACAAAATGGGTTTTTGTTTTCCTCCATTTTCCACGGCAAATTTCCTAAGATGAATTACACACTTCCTTTACTCCTTAAAGTTAACCATTTTCACACTAACTTAAGGCCTTTTGTTCCAAATATCCTTGATACTGTGCTGTAACAACTGAGCACACTCTTAACCTCCTATCAGTTGACTGTGTGCCTTTCTTTTAAAAATTAGGTCTGTGTTTCATTTTCAGTGTTTTTGTCTCCCTCCTCTCTCTCAGGGTCTACTATATGCTGTTATCTCTGTGCCACTGTAACCTGCTGTATGACCACATAAGTCAAGCTTCTGTGACAATTTTTTAAAAATAAGCATAAACAGCTCTGAGGAAAGGCCTAACAGTCTAAGAACAAAGACCATAGTCCCCTCGGAGGGACCTGATGACATACATTTTATGGCTTATTTCCAGATCATGGCTCTGCTTGAGAGGTAGGCAAAGTCCATTAATAAGTGTCCTTGGGATCAGTGAGAAAAATCTCCATCAGCATTTCCAGGTGCACTAGAAAGTTTTGTGGGTACTTACCAACCAACAGTGATAGATCCCTGAAGGGGCCAGTTTTTCCAGTTCCAATTGTGATACCAAATAAATATCATGTTTAAGGTCAGCAAAGTGAGGTAGAAGTAGGGTTACTGCTCTAATGCAGTGCTCTAAAGTAAGACCTCAACTTTCCTTTTTGTTCATTTTAACAGCACAGCCCTTTGGCAGGGAGCTTCATGCTCCCTGGAATCCTAGTGGGGATGAGAAACACAAGAGCTCCTTTCCCTGTGGAAGCCTCTGGATTCTGACACAGCTTCACCTCTTCCCCACAGCCTCACCTCTCTAAGCCAGTTTCATGACTATAAAATGAGGATAATGAAGTACCTACTGCCCACCCCAGAGCACTTTGTGCCAACCAAACATGAAAGAGAACGTAAAAGTGTGCTGTGCACTAACAGGACTCCAGGAGATCAGCATTATCACAGCTCAAAGGCAAGCCTGGCCACCAGGCATCCATGGCAATCTCATGCCAGGCAGGAAGTTCCTATGAAGAAAAACAAAGACACGAATACCCCTTAGCTGGAAGGAGAGAAGGTAAGAGCCTCCAAGTGAGAATGGAGTGATAGTCTGTGCTTCCTGGACAGAGGAAGTCGCAAGAGGAACGGAAAGCAGGTTTTGAACAGGGAGAAAGCAAAAGACCTCAGATAAGCAAAGATGAGGAAGGGACATGAGGTCCAAACGTTGAATAAAGAAACAGTAATACTGGGCACTGTGGGACGCCTTTGCATGTAAATACGGTTTAAGCCTGGGCATCCTATTTGGGCGGATATAGTTACAATGCCATATTTCATTCTTGAGGTTGGTCAGCAAGACTTTCCATGAAACTTCTGCTCCCTTATTCCCACTTACTGTTCCTTATCCATAACGATAGATGTGTATTACATATACTTCTTACCTGCTGACTGGATCTTCTGTGATCACACCTTTCCTAATAGAATATTTATCCAGGCCTGAGTTCCATAGTCAAAGAAGGTAGAAGATAATCTGCTTAAATGAAGTGCCTGGCCATTTCATTCACTTCTAGAAATATTTTCTCAAGATTACCATGCAAGCAACAGATTTTCAGGAGGCAGAAAAGATTTCTAGACTTTGCCCAGAGGGAGAACTACAAATGCCCTCAGGATAAATAGTGCTCCAATGAGCAGAAGCCCAAACAAAATAGGAAACTGATAGAGAACCCTAGCTCTAGATCTTTTTGTCTTATACCATCCTAGCATAAGCAGAAGGGAGAGAAGCTGTTCTAACCACGATTGAAGAATGAAGCTATTTAGCAGCTTAATCGAAACTACGTACCTTTGAATCTCTTAATTTTACCAGGCTCTTCTACGTGGACCTATATTTCGGTAATTATAATGGTAATGTGGATTGCGGGAAGATATCTTCCTCTTATGGCTCCCCACTCCAAGTCTTTGATTTCCAATCAACCAACAATTTTTTTAAGATTATTTATGTTAATCCTTCCACTCTTCATTGCCTCATTTCTAAACTGGAGAAGCCCTCATTTCAGTAACAACAACAACAAAAGTGACATGTATAGGGGTGTGTGTATATATGAAATCCCACCATCCTTATGAAAGTAATTTTTCCCAGTTTTCTAGGTTCATGACGTTAAGAAAGCTGAACCTCACCAGAGAATGTGTAATATGTTAATATCCCCCAAAAGCCAAACATTAAACATTACTTTTATTAGCTAAAATTTATTGAATGCTTACTATGTGTGCCAAGAAATGTGCTTAACTCTTTTTTATTATTTTTTCTGTTGGAGACAATGTCTCGCTCTATTGCCCAGGCTGGAGTACAGTGGCATGATCTCAGCTCACTGCAACCTCTGCTTCCTAGGTTCAAGTGATTCTCGTGCCTCAGCCTCCCAAGTCACTGGGACTACAGGCATGTACCACCATGCTCAGCTAAGTTGTTTTTTTTTTTTTTTTTGTATTTTTAGTAGAGACAGGATTTCATCATGTTGCCCAAGGGTCTCAAACTCCTGACCCCAGGGAATTCACTTGCCTTGGCCTCCCAAAGTGCCGGGATTACAGGTATCAACCACCATGCCCGGCCCTAAGTGTGCTTATCTCTTTATAGGAATTGCCTAACTACCGTACAGTGCAGAAGGTACTATTATTAGCCCAATTTACAGGTGAGGAAACTGAAGACAGAGAATGGAAGAGCTAACGTTTGAATCTAGGACTGTCTGACTCTGCCCAAGCTCATAATGACTATGCTACATCAATTAGTATTATTTTCTGTCTCCCATGCCTTCCCCATGATGTTCGTCTTTCTTTTCTCCTAAATTCATGCATCCCTTTAACAAACCTTTATTAACAACCTAATATAATACATGCTAGTCAGAGGGCTAAATACACATTTCTGTTTTCTCCATTTCACTCATTGGCACTAAGTTACCTCCCATCTCCTACAACCAGGTGTAAAAATTCAGGTGTCAGCCCTGAACCTGCCATGTGTGGGCTGAGGCAAATCTTCACTGTTTGGACTAATATGGCCTTAGGCCAGAAAGATGCACTTGTAGGCTCTACTCTGAGACTTGATAAGTCATCCTTGCCATGAGTGTGGCTCTAGCCATGTGTCCACTCTGATATTCAGCTCAGTTCATTAGAGAAGCCAGTGCTGATCACTGGCCTCTGCCTTGTTCCCTTTACCTGAGTCTATCTTGAATATACTCAATATCCAGTTCCTCTAGAACCAGAATGCCACTTCGCTTTTGTCAGTCCCCATCCATGGAAGCTTTTCGTCATTAGAATATGCATTCCATGAAGGCAGAGATCTGCGTCTGTTTGTGGAAGTATCCCAAGCTCCCAGCACAGTGCTGGTACACAGTAGCCCCTCAATGCTTGTGGGTTGAACAGACCGAGGTCCTTCAGCTGAATCCCAGGCTGGCTGATGGCCAGGCTGCTTCTCACTAGACTTCCTCCCTCTTTTCTCAGTCTTAAGACATCTAAGCAGACTTCTTGGGAAACTCCACAAGCTCTCTGGATGTCCTGATGCCAAGTGCTACCAGAATCCGGTCTGTTGCTGTAATTTTCAGATTGTGTGCCTTGGCTGCCAGACGAGGCCTTCTGGCAGCACCTGCAAGGTGTGTTTGTTGGCATACACCAGCTCATGGGCCGGTTTCCAGCCCCTCCCAGTCTGCCTCTGCCTTATTAGGCTGTGTTAATTGGTTTGAGCCTAGTTATATCTAGAAATAGTGTCCATATAATTATATACACAAATTATGAAAAATTCATAGAGATTTATGTTCAAAGATATAACAGCAAGAAATTGGAATGCATGATAAAACTGTCATGTAAAGGACAGTAGATACATACAATCTACTTCGATTCTACCATTAAAATATTATAAAGAATATTTGATGACATGAAAAAAATGCTAATATTTTTAAAGTTACAATACTTTACATGAAGTATGATCCTAACCATGGGAAAATGTATTTTTAACAAAAAGGCCAGCAATAGTCTCTAGGCAGTTGGACTATGAGTGATTAAGGATTTTCATTTTCATTTTTCTACATATTTCTACATTTCCACAATAAGCATTCATTACTTTTGTAATGTAAATAAAATGAGTGTAGTATTGTAAACCAGTTCTAAAGCAGATATGACAATCCCTTGACAATACTTAGCCCAAACATCTCAGCCATTGAGATCTGAATTACTAACCTGTGATTATCAGTAAACCGAATACATAAACAGGATGAGTGCAGTTTGAATTTTAATTTACTCCCATTTCAAGTTAGTGAACAAATCTACAGACTGAAGTAGGGTACTGCCTGATCCCATGGCACACAACTCAAGTCTTCTGAAGTGCCCTGCATCGTGCCTTGTTGATTATACTTACTCGTGGACTTTACTCCTTTCTCCCACAAGGCTACCTATCAGCTAGCTTTCTAAGGATATTCTTTTAGTGCCTAACACAGAACTCTGTGTTTAACTGGTGTACCACAAATGCCTATGGAGCAAGTTAATTTTTGAAGTGTACCGAATTGATTTCAAAGCAGTCAGCTTCTTCCAAAGTTGTCCTGGAAAACAGAAAAACAAGAAAACAGGCAGTCCAATTGAAACAATCTCTCAAACTCTTCTGTGGTCCAAAAGTCACTCCTCTGTCTGTTTCAACACAATGACCTGAGGACTCTTGGTATTTGGGAGGGAAAAAAAAAAAGCCTACAAATTTGGAAATAAGTAAGCTGTTCTCCTCCAAGAACAAAATTCTGAAAGGATGGAAGAAGAGAGCTATTGGAGAGGTAGCTAGGGGTTACTGATTTTAATATTCATTGGAAAATATATAACAGACTACAAAACCATGAGCTTATGGCTATTAATGCAGTTGTAAATGGGACAAAAAGAGTCAATTTAAATAAATCTATTTTGTTAGTATAGTACAAGTACCTGTATCAAATCCACTACAATGTACACTTAAGAATCACATATTTTGGGCCGGGCACAGTGACTCATGCCTATAATCCCAGCACTTTGGGAGGCCGAGGCAGGTGGATCACTTTAGGTCAGGAGTTCGAGACCAGACTGGCTAACATGGTGAAACCCCTTCTCTACTAAAAATACAAAAATTAGCCAGGTCTGGTGGCACAGGCTGTAATCGTAGCTATTTGGGAGGCTGAGGCAGGAGAATCGCTTGAACCCAGGAGGCAGAGGTTGTAGTGAGCCAAGATTGCACCACTGCACTCCAGCCTGGCCGACAGAGCGAGACTCTGTCTCAAAAAAAAAAAAAAAAAAAAAAAAAAAAAAAAAAAAAAAAAAAAAAAAGCCATATATTTTGCTGTATGTAAATTTCATCTCAGCTTTTTGTTTTTTGTTTTTTAAGTAAGAGAATAATAGTACAAGTGCTGTGCAGATGTGGCAGAAAGCCCAAGGCATTATGCGGAAACAAAAGCCCAAAAAATAACGTGATCATTTTACAAACATTCACTAAACACATACCCTGTATCAGGCACTGGTCTACGCAGTGGTAGTAGCCTAGTCTTTATCCTTATGGCAGTTACAGTCTAATAGGAGAGAGGCTTAACTCAAAAATAATCCATACGTTCATTCCAGCTCACCAAGCACTGTTGAATCCACCATCTTATTTGATCCCAACAGAGATCTCCTGAAGTTGGCAGAGCTATTGCTAGAAGTTTGCAAAAATGGACCCAGTGTACAGCAAGCCCTATACCCCATCCCAAAGTAATATTCCTTCATATCCATGTATTTTCAAGATGTTTTACATTTTTATTATGAAGAAAACCAACCATCTTGGTTTAAAGTAACTTTGTTAATGTTTTGCTGTGGAACAACATATAATAATTTAAATATAACCAAAAGATCCATTGAGTTTGGCCTCTTTATGTTACTCATATAAATTACGAAGACTAGATCTGAAACTATAAAGCTTTTAAAGCTGTCAAACTTTAGTGTGCATGGGAATTACCTGGAGGGTTTGTTACCCACAAACAGCTGGGTCCCAATCCCACAGTCTCCAATTCTTCAGGTCTAAAGTGGGACCAGATAATTTGTATATCTAACAAGTTCCCAGCAGATGCTGATGTTGGTGGTCCCAGGAACATATTTTGAGAACCACTGGTCTAGATTAAATTGTGAAACAACCTGAGTCTCAGTGGCTCAACAGAGTTTTGTTTACTCAGTAGGAATACGTGTTCTCCACAGGCTGGCAGAAAGGCTTTGCTTGTTGCAATCACTCAGAAATCATCACTCTCAAGCACCTTATGGTACCAGAAAATGAGGATTCCTTTCAAAAAACAAAAAAACAAAAAAAGAGGGAGGTGTCTCTGTGGCAAAGGGGCACAGCAGACAACTGAGAGTTTCCAATGGCCAAAGCTGGAAAAATTTGAGCAACAAAATACATAAGGTTGTATTAGAATATAACCCAATGTACAAAATAAAATACACATGAATCTATATTGATATGAATAAATGAATGAATAAATGGGGCAGAAAAGACAAATCTCCTATGCAGAAGAATTCAAATAATGTATGCAGTTACTCTATCCTTGATATGGTTTGGCTGTGTCCCCACCCAAATCTCATATTGAATTGTAGCTCCCTAATCCCCTCATGTCATGGGGGACCCAGTGGGAGGTAACTGAATCATGGGTGTTGGTTTTTCCCATGCTGTTCTTGTAATAGTGAGTAAGTCTCATGAGATCTGATGGTTTTATAAAGGACAGTTCCCCTGCACCTGCTCTCTTGCCTGCCACCATGTAAGACATGCCTTTGCTCCTCCTTTGCCTTCCACCATAATAATGAGGCCCTCCCCAGCCACATGGAAGTGTGAGTCGATTAAACCTCTTTTTCTTTATAAGTTACCCATCTTGGATATATCTTCATAGCAATGTTGAAATGGACTAATACAACCCTCAAGGTAGAGTCTAACTCCCCACTTCTTAGCTGTGGGCTGCACATAGGGACCTGCCAAAGAATACAGCATGGAGAGGGGTGAGCCGTTTACAGTAGAGAAACCTGACAGTCACTGCTGCATCAGCCTCAACAGGGATAACTCATTTTGATAGTATGTTACTTCAATATGATGTAATGAAAATGAGACTAAACTAGTGAAATCCCAATAAAATGAGACTAAACTAGAGAAATCTCAATAAAGCATCAATCTTACTTATAATTCCAAAACAAAACACCAAGGCTCCCTGAGCAGCCACCATCTCTCAGGTTGTTGGTCACCTTCACTGGGGAAAGAGAAGCCTGAAGGATCTGGCACCAGTAATTAAATGTGCCCAGGATGGAGGGAGTACAGAACTATTTGAACAGTATCAATGACTGCCACAGCACCTGCTTGCAATTCTTTGAAACAGAACCTTTGTTCACTTATGCTGTTCTGCAGATTCTCTGGAGTCAACCTCTAGGTGAATGGGCATTGAGACTAAGCCTGCTGCATGGTTTCCAGGCAGAGATTATTTATACCACATCTCATATTTTCCTGCCTCTCAAAGTGCCTCTAGAGTTATATATCCTAATGGAGAATTCTAGTCTTTCTTCTCCAATGATTCTTTTGATTTATCTCCAAATCAATGTATCATCACAACCAAGTAGGTTATTATTAAAGAGGTGTTTGGTGGTTTACCCAAAAGGCATAAATGAGTTTAGATGCCTCACTCACTTGTTTCAGTAAAACAAAAGGGGGAGTTCCTTCCTCATATGACTCTGCTCAACCAATTTACAAACCAAGCCTTCGACAGTCTAGTCTGAGCAGAAATCAACATTTCAAACTGAATGTGTTTCCTCCCTCCTTCCCATTGCTCAACTTAGTTCTTAAATTCTGTCTCTTCCTAGAAAGTTTCATTTATTTCTCATCTTTTCTATGCCTCCCCAAAAAAGCAAAAAACCAAATAATTTTCCTTTAAACCCCATCCCATATCTTGCCCCTGTTTGCATTTCTCTTTATATGATTGCAGCACAGCTTTAGTATTCATTTTACGTTCACATTTCTGGGAGTTACAAACATCTGACCCTCAGTGGGCAATTCTGGTTACCTCTTCCCAAAGGACAAGATTTGACCTTGAGATTGCTTGCAAACTCCAAAGCTGTCTCTTTCCATAAATAAATATTCTTTACATTTTTTATAGGCTATTGAACAACCACAAGAAAGTCTTGCTTCTTTGTAGGGGTTCTGAGGTGATAGTAGGGGTGATGGTAGTAGCAGTGGGGTGTGTGTGTTTTCATTTTCCTTTTTCTCCTAATGCAGTGTTTTTATGGGACAGATATGTTATGGTCATTCAAATTTGGAAAGCTGTATTAATATCACACAAGAAAGGTACTGATGACCTTATTTCTGCTAAGTATTAGGTGACCGGACCTTCCTATTTTGCACAGCTCAGAATTGTGAAAGTGACAGGCTAAGTTCTATAAACATTGCTCCAAAATATAATCACACCAAGATGGAACAGTGTTTAACCCACTAAGTGTACTTTTCTTAAATTACCTCTTTTTACAACATTACGAAATTCTCGTTTTTCTTAACTGACTCCTCCTGCTTGAAACGATCCCCATTTAATTACAACAAATTCACTAAGATGGCTTTGAATTTTTAGCCTTGCCAAAATTATAGATCCTATTTTCTGGAGTGAGAATATTTAACTCTCTTTATATTTGCAACACAGTTCTCATAAGGACTAAATGATTTAGGAGCTGCCGAGATTAATAACTCATTTGTATATATATATCATCTACTTTGGCCCAGGCTCCAACACTATCAACACTTACCCTAAATTGATGTTCCCTATCCTTTATAAGAGATAATGAATTCGTCTCATGGCCTAGAGCACACAGTGACATCTATGGTCTCAACTGATGTGAATCAACCCTCTCAGGGTTGGGAATATGTCTTAATTGTATACTTGTTCTTCAACACAACTACTGCTTCCATTTGATTTCTTCCCCCTTTTACTTACTGAAATGATTTTCATTCTTACCTCACTCATCAACTTGTCAATTAGAGAACAGGAGCTATTTCCTTTTTTGTTTGGGATTCTGGCTGCAGCCCAGGCACCATTTTCCAAGTAATTAATGAGCCCTGCAATGTCCTGGCTTGTGACCACCAGTCTCTTCCTTTGTTATATTACATCTTGCCTGGAGAAGGACTCAATGCAAGAGCAGGCAATAGGCTGCCACTTGACAAAGAGCAAGCTGTTATTTTTAGGTGAAAACACCGAGTTTTTTTTTTTTCTTTACTTTTGCCACATGACAACATAGGTGTTGGTAGTTAAATCTTAGGCTCACAAAGAAAGCCCTAGAAGCAGAAGTATCTATGGTTATGGATTTCTAATAGACTGTCAAGAGCTGCAATGGAGCATACAATCATAGGGTGGGAACTCGACCTTCACCCTCACCCTCAAGCCTAGGCTATTTGCACCACATCAGCATATGAGAGAAAAAACACCAGGGAACTCAGTTTTTGGTGAAGGGCAAGAAGAGGTCAAAAGGTGAAAATGGACTTTTTTTCCCCTTCCTTATTCCTTAGTTGCAAGGGGATAAAATAGTAAGCTTTTCTTCATTATGATCATTCATGCATTCAAAAAATATGCTTTTAGTATCATCTAGTTGTTTTAACATTGTTTTAGGTGCTAAGGATGGAGTACTCAACAAAAACAGAATCCTTATTTATCTACAAGGCACAGTCTAGTGAAAAGAGACTGAAGTGAACAAATGAATGAATGAATGATGAATGGATGGATGGATGGTAGATGGTGATGAATGCTACGGGAAAAAAATTAAACATGGTAAGGGGAACAGGGAATGGAGAGGGTGGGGTGTTATTTTCTATAAGGTGGTCAGGGAAGGCCTCTCTAATAAAATGACATTTGAGTAGAGACCTGGAGAAAGTGAAGGAACAAGCAACAGAGGTGTCTGGAGAAGAGGATCACAGGCAGATGAAACAGCAGGAAGAAGGGCACTGCAGTCAGACTCTGCTTGGCGTGGTTGATCATTAATTACTCTAAAAGCTTAACAATCTATGCAGAATTGAGTCACTGTAGATAAATGCCTTCAAGTCTCTACACTGATTTTATGATTTTTGAAGAAAAATCACTGAAGCTGTATTATGTAACCTTGTGCCCTATTAAAGATATGGTCCATAATTAAACATTTTCTGATGACTTGGATATGTAAGTATGATTCCTTATTTATTCATATACACCTTGCGCATGTCATCCTTGCACTGCACTCTACTTATTCTTTAAATTATTGAGCAGCCAGTCTTTGGTAGGTCTGTGCTAGTTACTGGGAATACTGTGGTAAGCAAAGTAGACAAGTCTCTGGCCTCATGGAGCTTATAGTCTGATAAATATATTATTCAACCAATGTGTATCACTATAATCTGAGTTTAGCACCCCACCAGAATGTGCCGGGGGTATGAAAGCCCAAACGGGGCCTGGGATCTTCTGGAGGATGAAGAACAGTTTTGTGAGAAAGTGACATGGAGTTAATAACAGGAGAAGAACATTCCAGGAGCAGGAATGTGCAAAGGTCTTGAGGCAGGAGGAAGCAAATTAGGTTTTCTGTGTAAAGAGAAAGCAGTATGTCTGGATCCCAGAGAGTGAGAAAGAACAGCACTAAGAAGAAGGTTGTGTTCAGATCATCCTGGGCCTTGTAGGCTAAGTTTACTCTTGATCACATGGGAAATCATTCAAAAGGTTTTAAACAGGAGAGAGACATGATCAAATAAGCATTTTAATATGACTTTACTGGCTGCACAGTAGGAATGTAGGGGCTGCAAGGATAACATCAAGGGACAGTCCTGCAGGCGTTCATATGAGAGATGTGCAATGCCTGTGCTAGGACAGTGGTGGCAGAGACAGAAAACAGAAGAGAGAAATCAGGAACCATTTAGGAAATAGGATCAGCTGGGCTTGGTGATGAAATTCAGGAGATGATGTCATGGGTGACTCCTAGTTGGTTCTTGGAGTTGTGATAATGCCCTTCACTCACTGGTTCATTTGCTGAAAAAAAAAAAAAAAGAAAAGAAAAATGACAAAACCCTAGCTCAGGCACCAAACACATAGAGCACACTCTCTTCTCTTTGACAGCCAAGCTAGTTCTAAGTAGCATCTAGATGCCTGGTATACAAGTCCTAAGTGCCTGCAGAGCTGGCCCTCAGCTGAGAAGTGCCTATCACACACACACACACACACACACACACACAAGTAAAGAGAAGCCAACAGGCTACATTAGATTCAGGATAAATGAGCTAGCCCAAATGACTTCTTCTATTTCAACTCCACTATCATTGCATTTAACTGGTCACACCTACAAAGCAATCAGCAAACTGGGTGACTCATTAGGATTTTCTTTTCAAGAGAGCAAAGAACCTAAATAAAGATCCTTGAATTTAGCGTACAATACCCAGGAGTCATCGGAGCAGCAGCAATTTGGGGGAACTTCAAGTGTGGTATTTCGGTTTGAGTGGGGAAGTTAGAAATCAGAACTGATCTCACAAACAAAAAGCTTTTATAATAGCCTGTCCTAGATAAGAGAGTAATGAGAGGACAAAAGGGGAAAGCCATCCCCCTCTTAATACCAAGGAAACCTAGGGAAGTGACTTCTTAAAAAGGAGGTAAAAGCAGCAGTTTTAGTCACTCATCAAGAGTGACTGTTCTTCCTCTTTGCTAGAAATAGCTAAGAGAGTGTAAATCACTCACTAGGCTCTAAGAAAAGAAGACTTACAAATGAGCTTGAAACCAAATAGTGCTGTGTAGATTCTTCTACCATCTTCTAAAGAATCTGCATGGACTTACTTATTCACTGTTAAGGTTGTCTGTGCATGGTAGCCACAGTGCTAGGATGATATCTATAGTTTGTTTTTGACAACAAGTAAATCCATTATAAACCCAATTTCTTCTCTTGAGCACAAGTTTAAAAGGAAAAAAAGAAAAGCTTTTCTACTTTAACATGCCTCATGCCTGTGCTTCCAAACCAGAGCACAAGTACTCCCTGGGGCACTCAGCTCTATGCCAAGTATTACAGCAGCAGGAAACCATAGATTTTGTTTAAGTCAACCTTTCTATAGTAATTTCATTAACATAATTTTAAACTGACGCAACAATGATTATCATGTGGCATAAAGAGAATCCATCTAAATTTTAAGGATATAACAGAAGATTCCAAATACATTTCATTTTTGTGGTTTCCACACCACCACCGAGTGAAGCCTTTAGATCTCTTGAAGAGGATGGGGTGGTTACAGGCCAACGAACGTATCCATTAGATGCAGACAGCACAGGACCTAGAGCCTACAGTACTTTTTGCAGTCAACAAAAAATTATTCTTATTTTAAAATTAGAAGATAAAAACTAATTCTTAGGCCAAAGAAAATGTTTTAACATATAATATTTGTCTTACACCAATGAGGTTATAAAGCCTAATTTTTAACTTTTTGTTGTTTTATTTTTCTTGGAGAAAGGGGCCCACGGAGGCAAAAATGGGGAGGGCCTACAACAGTCATACTACAGCACCGGGTAGTGCTTTCATTTGTGTTTGAGTCCCTCTCCTCTGCTATGCTGGTAAGCCTCAAACACAAATGAAAGTGTTATTTCTTAAAGTATAGTGGTCCAAATACCAACATGATTTAGTGAGACAAGGGCAAATATTTTAATTTAAAAAGTATGTACTATATTTTTAAATATAGCTGAAAATATTGAGTTTCTCATTTACGGTAGCAACGAATTTTCTTTTTGAAAAATTTAAGTAAATAAAATACTTTAATGAAAAATATTAAGCAAAAAGACTGCAAGTTCTAGGATGAACTTGGAAAAAAAAAAAGAGGTTGGTATTGCTGAATGGCTGAAAACTAGTGATATCCTAGAATCCTAGAAATACTAGGATTCAGACTCTCAGCTATAACACCCAAAAAAGTTTCCATATAGATCATCAACTACCTTCATCTCTCAAGAAAAACAGTAAAACATGACCAGAACTTCCACCACCAATCTACTGGGAAAATTAGAAATTTTGGATAGTGGTCTGAGTGCTTATTTATATTTTAAATCACATATCATATTTTTCAGAATTAGTGGTTCACACTGGCAAGAGAGCAAGAAATATTTGTTGGTTGGTACAAAGCACCTCCTTTTACTAGCCCATGAAACAATCCTACAATAACTCTTGTATTGTACAAAGAGAGGCAGATGATTGATAAAGATTCCCACAAGAATAAGACATTCACAGAAAAATGAGATCAGCCACTGCAGTCCTACCAGCTGGGATAATTTTACAAGGGTCAGACAGCTCCAGGGCATAAACTAATCACTTCAGGGTGAGGAAGAAGCTGACTCCTGATTCCCAAGAGGCAGTGTCACACAATTAGATTGTTTATTCTAGCTCAACACAAATTTGACACATTTCCCCAAAACTGCCTGTCTAGGGTCCTGTCAAAACAGGATGATGGAAAGTCAGAATAATGTTTTAGCCCAGTATTTCCAACATTCCTGTAATCCATTCCATTTCAGTCATGTTTTGATGTAAAGGATATTTTCCCCACTAATATTTGAAAGCTATCCATTCTTGCGTATTCTAGTTACACCGAGCATACATTCATTGTGGAATAAGCAGCAGCCAATGGTATCCAGGATCTTCTAAAAGTAGTATTCGAGGGCTTTTTTTGTATGTCTTAAAATTGTTAAATCTGAGTGAATGAACTTATCTACTCCCAAAGCAAGATCTTAAGTTGTTTTTAGTGGCCAATGAAATCTTTCCCAGGGAGCTAGAAGATGGGCTACCCAAAGGAAAATATTCTATATATTTTTCAATGAACATATAGAAGAATTACAGAACAAACAAGACATAAAATACAACATTATAGCAAATGTTTTTGAGGAGGGTGAATGAGATTCTTAATTAGTTCTTTTGCCTCTGCCAATATTGTCTATACCATTGTCCTTACACAATATTTACACAAAATATTGCAGCTAATAAGCAGAATCAAAATTTGAACTCAGATCTGCTTAGATCCAAACCTATGGTCTTAACCTCTGTATTTGTTCCAGAACAGTTCCTGGAACAAAGCTGGTAGCCAAGAACAAACCTGGTAGCCAATCCGTATTTGTTGAATCTGAATCTAGATTAGGAACCAGGCTGTTTGATCCAGGATTCTGAGGTGTTTCTAGAGCTCTTTACAACTAATCTCAACACCCAGAATGAAAAAGCTCTCTATGACATTTGAAGATATTAGATGACTACATCTGATAATGCCACATTCAAATATTTTCTGTTAATTCTTCTCCCTGTTGAAATCCAATTAGCATGAGGAAAATTAACTACTGCAATTAAGAGGAAGAGGAAGTGAAAGATTTCCATATAACAAGTTTAAAGCTCTGTTGCTAAAAAAAAAAAAAAAAAAAAAAATGCCCAAAGAAACTCAATCCTGTAACTGAATTTCAGATAACAGAGTATACTGCATACATAAAAACTAACTTTTTTGAGTACTCACTGTATACCTAAAATTCTTCTAAATGCCATTTCATGTATTATCTCATTTAATCCTTATGAGCTAGGTACTATTATTCCTAAATTTCAGAAGAGAAAACCAAAGCACAAAGAGGTTAAGCAATGAAGCCTAGGTCTACCAATAAGTGGTAGAGCCAAGATTCTGGTCCCAAGGGATACAACCCCAAACTTTATGCTTTTAACCTGCTGCTTCCCATAATAATAACACTTGCTGGACACTTTAATCTGTCTCATATATTCTTTTTTCTTAACCTCCACTTCCTGGGTTCAAGCTATTCGCGTGCCTCAGCCTCCCAAGTAGCTGGGACTACAGGCACGTGCCTCTACACCTGGCTAATTTTTGTATTTTTAGTAGAGATGACGTTTCACTATGTTGCTCAGGCTGGTCTCGAACTCCTGAGCTCAGGCAATTCACCCACCTCGGCCTCCCAAAGCGCTAGGATTACAGGCCTGAGCCACCATGGCTGGGCTGCCCTATGTATTCTTCATGCAAACTATGTTATTTACTTTCCCCAACAACCATAGAGAAAATATATATATATATGTATATATGTGTGTGTGTGTGTGTATGAATGCATGCAGATATAGGAGGTGTGTATATGTGTGTCTGAGTGACTATTCTCTATCCTATCACTGTAAAAACACTTGACAGATCTCTCAACCATTGAAAGAAGGTCATCTTAGATCTTCTATATAATTAATCAAAAGAACTATTCATACAAAAATTGCATTATGTGTCATCTTCATTTTTCATTAGGTATTTTGATTGGATGTTGTTTTTGAGAGGAAAAGAATTCATTTATTCTCATGTTCTTGTTCTTTTTCTCATTTTAATATGAAATAACAGCACCAGAGAAAGTTCCAAAATATCTTGAAGGACAGAGTTTCAGGGCTATCATTGCATTTGTAAGAGTTGGGAGGAAAATTTCCAATTCATAGTAGTAGCCAAATGTTGCAAATCTTCATGTACCCTCCACCTAAGTATTACAGACTCTGCATCATGTAACCTGGTTACTGCCAGAATTGAGATCTCCCTTCTCCTCTTCACTTATCCAAATGTGTGATTCATCTCTGTGGGATATGACAAACCAACCACACTGGGCAAAAAGGCCCTGCCTGAGCCCTCTCAGTTCCCAGGAGAACCATTCAACACAAAAGTTAAATGGTGCATTTCAGGCACCCTGCCCATCCTGAACCCTGGATTTATGCCAAGGAAAGGCATTCCACTAATCAAGCTATCTCTAGTCCTCAGGACCAAGGAGATGGCCTAATCTCATGCTTCCCAAAGTTAAATGGGCATATAAATCACCTGGGAGTCTCGTTAAAAAGCAGATTCTGCTTCAGTGGGTTTGGAAAGGCCTGAGATTCTGCATTTCCAACAATCTCCCAGGAGGTGCTGATCATGCTGCTGGACAGCAGGCCACACCTGGAGTATCAAGGGTCTAGTTCATACACAAATGCAAAATTGGGCTTCAAAGAGAAGTGTTTGATTTTTTGAAAGGTTCATCCTGGGTTCTCATCCAGGGTGATCCATAAAATTTTCCATATCTTCATGTGGCATTAAAAACTCCAGACAATCCTCAGAAAAATCTATTCACCTTTTAAGCCTTTGGATTCCACAAGGCTACCACACCCCAAGTATGGAGGGAGACCATTATTCCATACATAACTTTAAAGGCATCCCCTTTGTGACTTAGCCACATGTTCTTTTGTGTTATTTATCCAAAGAATAAGCAACTGATAATTTCAGATTTTCCAAAATGGCGAATGTTTGACATAAATGTGTTTAATACTCTGCAAAGCCTCTCCAACTCAGTGTATTTGGGATGCAAGGGTTGGTATCACTATGTAAATAAGGAACTACTTTACAGTACAGTTTAATGAACCAAGTACATGCAGGAACCCTATTTAAGTGAAAGTATTAATTCCTTGGAGGAAATGCTTTAATACTGAAGAATGACTTGTGATTAGCATATCAACAAGAATAAACAGTCTTAAGATACCCAAGGGTACTTAAGGACAGAAGCTTTCAACAAACTTCTTAAACTCCTGTTTATACTCTTAAATTGCTTGGTAAACGCCTCCTTCTAAGGTACTTTAAAAGGTCAAGTTTTGCCCAAGTCTCCTCTCTGAAAACTAATGAGGCTTTAATGTATTCAGAAATGCAAAAGTAACATCAAAGTTATTTGATTGACCCAAGCCAAAGAACCTTCTAGAATAGCAACATATTTTGGCTGGGTTTCTACCTTAAAGTCACCTCTCCTCCTAAATAGGATAATTTAAAAAACATTTATTTCAACATATTGGCAGAATTACTAGGTCATTTGTGAGCAGAATAATTCTTTTCTACCTTTTTAGAATGGTCAGATATGAGAAACAAAGCATGTAAACAACACTAAAGGTGGCTGCTCTACTTTACAAGGATCCTAAGAACTAGAAATAGTAGTCTTCAGTTAAACCAGAAAATTTTAAATTAAAGGTTAGATGACTGAACTCTTGCACTGAGCAGTCGACCCCACCATGCTTTCATTATGCCAATGAATTATATCTGTTTCAATCACTGGTGTCAAAAGGTTGTGGGTTCAACTCCAGGTTGTGCCACTTACTGTCAGTGTGACCTAGGGTAAGTTAAATTTTGCAAGGTTTAGACTTTTCATCTGTAAAGCAGGGATACTAAGCAGTAAGTGCTTACTTTATGATGTTGCGGAAGCCTGCTACCGAGCCTTTCCTATAATGGGCATAGTTACTCTATACATATACTATACATACGGGATTACATACTATTGCTACTTTTACTGTGCACAGAACAAGGTCGGTCCTTGAGCTTTTAAAGAGACACATTAACAAGTAAAGACAAGAACTGCCAACCAAAGCACATACTAAATCTATGAAACACCTGACTACAAGAGATGACTCAGGATTAAAAAAAATAAAGAGATGGCTCTTAAACTATCAAGAGTTCTGAACTCATCTTAACCTCTGAGGTTCAAGTCTAGGAAGACAGCAATATTCTTCTGCAATGTGACCTTCCACATGGGTGTTTTGCCTACAAATCAAAGTTTTTATTTTGGATGCCCAGCCTTCATCCAAGCTGAGTTAAAAAGTTAACTTATTTTTTCTTCTCTTAGTAATAGTAGGCAGTAATGATTGTGGTCCTGGTACTTCTTCAGAGTTAATATCTATGATTTCTTAAAATGTTTATTCTGGAGAATTTTTTGTAGATATCCTCTACCCTCCAAATGCCCCCAAAAGGTGTATGTTAGTATAAAGTGCCATTATTCTAGCAAAATCAGCCCTTAAGACCACATTCATGTCTTAGGGTGACACTGCGCTACCAAGAAAAAAAAATTTTCTTGAACTGATAACAATTTAGAAACTCACTCCCAGTAAAGCATAGAACTCAGCACAAACACCAAATTCATTATATATATGTAATATATATGTAGATTTACACACCTTTGTATAGCTATCCTTGTTTTAAAAAACTAATTTTCAGCATTAGGCACTTTCACTGCTTCTGCTCTAACCCAAATTGCTGATTGTAAAAAGGGGATTTTCTCCCCTGTATTTACTTTGGAAACAGACACCAGCCACGGAGAAGTAGTTGAGTGCAACTGCCCACAGACTCACACTGAAATTAGAGCACCTGAGCTGGTCCACTACCTGAGCCGTGTTCCTCAAGGAAATTTCAAAAGAAAACCTCCAGGACCTCGGAGGGCCAAAAGGGCAGCTTGTAGCAGGACTCGGCTGACACAAGACTAAAGCCTAGGAGTTCTCTGTGTCCTTACCCTTGGGCTTCCTGAGAAACAAGATCCTGAGTCAGACACTGAAATCTTATGATTATGAGCAAATGGGCCTCATAATCCCAATTAATCTCCAGAGTTGATTGTTAGAAATGCAAAGATACTCCCTAGAGACTGTTGCACAGACTAAGGAGTTTCTTCAACACTGAGAATGTAGATTAAGACTGCTGAGGGAGAAATAATTTAAGTAGTGATTGGGCTGTGAAAGAAAACATTGTCAATACCTATCTTACTTTTAGCTATTCACAAATATATAGATTTCAGAGAGAGGTAACACCATGATGCATAGTACTTAGGCCAAATTTCAAAGAGCACATCTGACCATAGTATTACTCATCAACTTAATCAGGTAGCCATAAATCTCCTATGCTTCTAGACTAGAAAACAATACTCAAAGAGCGTTCTGTTTTCAATGTTGCTATTCTGTTTTGGGTTCTGTTAGCAGACTTTTTTTTGTTTTTGTCTTTTCTGTCTTGTATTTTCCCCCATCCCCTGTGAACACTGGATTCTTGGTCACATCTTAATTTATGACTATTTACTCAGCTGATTAACCGTAGGCATTCGTCTTATTCAAGCAAATCTTGTTCTGAGCAACAGATAAACTGGAACCCCAAGGACAGAGCAGCCATGGCTCCGTATTAATCATCTGCTCATCCCATTTCCCCATCCTACAGCAGACCATGAAAGCTGGGGTTGCCTCAGAGGGCTTGGCTTCAGGCACCTCCTCCCTGAAGCACTCTCAGAGGGGCATATTCATATGGAGCAGGAGGGAGGCTTTGGTGATTGGCTTCTGTGATAGGTTTCTTGAGGGAATGGAAAGGTTTTGAAGTTCTGAAGTATTTGAAGTGTCTCTTCATAAGTTCACAAGTGGGTACAAAATGGTAGAACAAAATGTACTAAACATTTAGGCCACAAAACATTCATTTTCTCCAGCTGAAATCACCAGAAGTGTTAGCTGGGGAGAAATCAGAATCTGCCTAATTTGCAACTCTTTTGAAGAGAATATAAAATCAGCTTTGCCTCCACCCAAAGAAGAGGACACACTGTCCTGTTTTCACTAACTTTCACTATTTTGACAAAGAGAAAGAATGAGATAACTCTGGCTAAAACTTGTCATGAAAGTATCTGATAGAGGCATCTCTAGCATTCCTGGGTTACTGATGTTATATAACTAAAACCTGTAAGGAAAAAAGTGAATAATGTGATCCTTAATGGAAACGGAAATAGAGAGTCACAGGTATTCCTAACTTGCAGTCATGCAAATTATCCAAGAGATTACATCTCGGTATTGTAGCCAGGTCATCCTCCTCTACAATACCCAGAAATTCTTTCTTTCCATCCTCTATTTCATTGTCTCTCCCCACCCTCAACCCCAAACACACAAACCTAGGCATCCCTGTAAAGGAGGAAATATAAAAGCAAAGAGTAAGCAACTTGCTACAATGCCACACCAGGTAACAGGTAACTGGCCTTCCCCCTGCTTGGAATAGAGGAAAAGTACAAATTATACACCTGGCAAATATTTGCGTGGTCTCCAGAGCAGTAAGATTCATCCATTTGCTCACAAAATCACACAACTGAAGCTGAGCGAATAAATCAATTCAATTCATTTCAACAAACATTTATCAAGCTCCAGTCTGAATATAGAGTTTTTCTGGGGGGAAAAAAAAATCATAATGCACCTGGCTATTGGAGCTGATTTTTTAAGAAGTCTAGAAATTTCTTCCTCCTTTCTGAGAAACGAGGCAACCAACTCCCTTAAATAATCAACACAGATGTATTTTATATTGTAAAATGTAAGTAGCCCAAGGTATGCCGCTTCCTTTTTTGTAGGTGGAAAAGAATCCACTTCTTATCTTTCTGGGAAAACACAATTGTGTTTGTTGTACAAAAACACAGTGTCCCCATTTACTAAGAAATCAATGAGTAATCACCAAGCCATGAATCACCTTTTAGTATTTTTGCTATAAAGATGAGAAGCACTATATATTGAAACAGGCTATGGCATCGCTGCTCTATAGTATAAATTCAGACTTATCAAGAATCTACTTAAAATATTCTAAACATGCAATGGAAGGGCAGGGCAAAACCAATCTTTGCCAAACATTTAAGGAGATGTTATACACAAATTTCCTCCTGGGAAACTTCTGAGTGGAGGTAAGATAATTTAGGCGACTCGATCAGGAGTCATGCTCTACTACTTACCTGGGGGCTTCAAGGGAAGACATTTATAAACTCTCAGACCTAAATTTCTCTCCTTTAAGACAAGGTTAATCATACCTCTTCTATCTAACTTATGGGGTTACTGTGAAGGTCAAATGAAATAATGAATATGAAGGTTTCAAAACCATTGTTTTATGTTTTATGATTGATATCAGTGATGTCAACGTTTAACTCTACAGTCCCAAAGACATGGTAGAAGATGGAAAACAACCTCCAAAAACCCATCTCTGATATCAAAAGTGTGCAATGGGCTATTTAAAAGTTCAGATGAGCTGTGGTTCTTTGTGCTTAGCCACAAAAACAGCCTTAGAATCATAAAGCCAGTTTTAAAAAGAAGGGAAAACAATTTTTTTCTTTGTCCTATTCTCTTCTGTCATATTAGATGGTAGGCGGACACTGTTTTTACTTATCAGGTATCAAACTGCTGTTGGCTACTAAATATTATATTTTGTGTCAGTCTCCTTAATTTATATACTCAAACAGTTGAGATGAAGCAAACCTAAACATATCTCACTGAGTTAGGGCATTCCAAACTCAGCAGAATTTTTTTTTTTTTTTGAGATGGAGTCTCCCTTTGTGGCCCAGGCTGGAGTGTGCAGTGGCATGATCTCAGCTCATTGCAACCTCCATCTCCCAGGTTCAAGTGATTCTTCTGCCTCAGCCTCCCGAGTAGCTGGGATTACAGGCCCAGACCACCACACTCAGCTAGTTTTTGTATTTTTAGCAGAGACGGGGTTTTGCCATTTTGGCCAGGCTGGTCTCAAACTCCTGACCTCAGGTGATCCATCTGCCTCAGCCTCTGTACTTTTTTTTTTTTTTTTTTGGTACATATTTATAACTACCTACTCTGTATTGGTACTAGAGAAACAGTAAGGTAATGTCCCTGACTCAGTTTGGAATAGGAGACAGCCAGACAGAGGATTACAAACAGGTCAGAGTACGGAGAGAAGAGGCAGGGAAAACCATCAAACCCCATTGGGCAGGTGCTGCCTGAACCAAGTGTTAAGGATATAGTATGGTTGCTAGCCAACAGGGGGTGAGGAAGGGCACAGCACGGATAAACAGACACCGTGTGCAGTGTGCACGAATGCCCCGCAATGTGCTACCATAGATGGACACAGTGGGAATCAGGATGGGCCGTAGATGAGGCTGGAGGGGGAGGCAGAGGTCATGTCATAGGAACCTGTGACTGGGGATGTAGAACTGTGCTCCCTGGAGCTCCAAGTGTGGGGCTACTCTGTGGAGGGAGGTAGAGGTGCATCGGGGAGTGTTGTGTCGGCAAAGGGACGGCTCCATGAGGTAGATCCTAACTATCCTCCCAGAACATCCTGCTATTGTGTCAAATACTGGAGTTTCCTGTGGGGGAAAAATGTTTTGCTGCTTTAAAAAATAGTTGATACATTTAAGGTAAAGAGAAATCTCATTTGTAAAATTGTAATAAAAATAACCACAGCCCAGACATTTTAATATAGAAAATGTATTAGTCTGTTTTTGCACTGCTAATAAAGACATACCTGAGACTGAGTAATTTATAAAGGAAAGAGGTTTAATTGACTCACAGTTCCACATGGCCGGGGAAGCCTCACAGTCATGGCCGGAAGTGAATGAGGAGCGAAGTCACATCTTACATGGTGCAGACAAGAATGCTTGTGTAGGGCAACTCCCCTTTATAAAACCATCAGGTCTCTTGAGAGTTATTCACTACACGAGAACAGTATGAGGGAAACTGCCCCCAGGATTCAATCATCTACACCTGGCCCCACCCTTGACCGGGGATTATTACAATTCAAGGTGAGATTTGGGTAGGGAGACAGCCAAACCATATCAGAAAACATACACAATATTCTTTTAGGATTCATACAAAATGCTTGCGTATTTTTTGTGGACTTCTACCTGAGAAGGATCGTTTTATTTAGATATAAACAGGGTAGAAAAATCAAGGGCTTCAGCTGGTTTCAGCTTCCTAGAACAAGATGCAGCCCTGCAGTTGTGGGGCGGTCAGTCACCTGCAGATAATAAAGTGGGCTGTTGGTGAGGTACCTTGGAGGAACGCCAACGTAAGGACAGACAGACATGCAGACCCATTTCAAGCTTGTTGCAGATCCAGTGTTGCAGGACATGACCCAGGAAACCACCACCTCTATAATTAAGTTTTAAGTTTACTAACAGTATTTTTTTAAACAGAGATCAGGGCATGGGGTGGAGTGAGGGATAGTAGGGTATGGGGAGTTAATATTTAACTGGTTCAGGGTTTCAGTTGAGGATGATGAAAAAGTTCTGGAGATGGGTAGTGGTGAAGGTTGCACAACAATGTGAATGTACTTAATGCTGCTGAATTGTATGCTCACTTAAAATGGCTAAGGGGGTAATTACTGTATGTACGTTCTACGATAAGAGAAAGAGGTACCACTAAAAAGATTTCCAGTAAGATAAATTCAGCTAGGAGCCTCATACCACCTCCCTGAATGTGATGCACAGATCAAAACTGAATTTCTCAAGCCATACTCGAAGTATCAACTCGAAGATGTTAAACAGTAACGGGCAAGTTTTCTAAAACAAGAAGTCACCTTCTCCTTAAAGGAGACTGAGTTCTTCACATATGGAGTTCCTAACTCTTCCCTGCTGTCCACAAAGATGATATGGTTATTATTATCATGATTGTTGTAACAGACATTTTGTAATTTATCTAGAAAAATTGTGTAACCAGCTGCTACACTTGTCTGCCTTTGTTGTAGAGAGGAACAAAATGGACACAGTAGTTCTGTGCTTCTCCTTGCAAAGTGAGCAACAGGACCAAGATCCGAAGCAATATCAGAGGCCACTGCACCCAGCAGCAGAGGTTGTAATGACCCCATTCTAGACCCTCACCACCAACAACGCTCCTATGTAGTAGTAAGCATATATTTGCTTGCCGAACAGCAGATATTTCTTTTTGCATATGCAAAATATCCAAGCAGATTTAATGAAATTATACTTAAGGTTAAACTACAGAGATAAGAAATACAATCTCAATACCACAGTTAATTGGTTATTCTTTTTATTAAAGAGTCTCAAATGTTTCCCATGTACAAAATAGTTAAAAACCGTGAAGAGCCCTAAATTCTGTGCCTGTAATCCTGGCGGGGTTTCATTTTACAGGTTACAAATAACCCAGAATAGTAACTATTGATGGTTTAATTACTTGAAAGTGCCTTATAATCACGAAGTCATTAAGGGTGTTATGAGATCTAAAAACTACAAGTCATGAGGGGGTTGTGCATCAAGTTATTTGGCAACTCATTGATACAATATGAGGTGGAATGAAAGTATTTTGGACTAAAGCATTCTAAATACTTCAAATCAAAATTGAGCACACGAGTGCCAATCCATGTCCATCCCTAACAGAAAATCTCATCCTCTTTTCATCACTATTAGAAATTTTGTATCATCATTCACTGAGGCAGTGAGAACCTGCTAAAACCTTGCGGCTCTGAATTAATGAGAGAATGGTATAAAATGTGCATGTGTCTACATCCTTCAACACATCAACTACACCAAGCAATGCCACCAGGCCACATGGGTACCTTAATAATGTTAGGCATTCCGTATAAATCATTTTGCTAATGGTTTAGAGTATTGCTGTAACAGTTTTGCAGTTGGAAAAGCACAGGCTGTAAGTGGATTCATGGAAGCAACTTGTGGAGGTTATCCAGACTAGTGCTCTACTTAGAATTAAAGGATGTCATATCTAGAAGGAACTCTGGAGACCCTCTAGCCAGACCTCTTCGTTATACATGAAACCAAGGCCCAGAAAAGCTAAATGACTTGCTTAAGCTCACACAGCTAATGAGTCTCAAGGCCAAGACTCAAGGCCAGAAGAGCCATCTGTCCATGTCTGTCTTAAAGGCTTCCCAGCCCTACTTCACCTCAGGTTATTGACCCTGGCCCAGGCCATCAAAAGCAGTCAAGCCTTTGGTAACACTACCTCTCCCTAGAGTACCTACTTAATTCCCCTTCCACATACATCTATTCATCTTTTAAGACTCCACTCAAGAGTCACCTTTATATGAAGGCTTTCCTGGTCTTCCCACAGCCCCCACAGATTTGGCTCTGCTCTGTATACTCTTGCTGTGGTGCATGGAATACAACATTGAAGTGATCTATTTTCATGTCTCTCCACCCAGAGACTTCAAACCCTTGGAGGGCAAGGACCATGCCACATGTTTATCTATAAACCATGCCCTGATGGCAATGCCAGGCAGTTGTTAGATACTTATGAAGGCTGACACTGAATAAATAAACAAAGGTAAACAAAACCCCAAGATAGAGCTAAAAGGGGTAGACTCATCTCCAAAGACAAAGATACCCAAAAGAGCACTTACACTACAGACAGCCTCAGCCCAGCAGCTCTCTATCCTGGCTGTGCATTGCAAGCATCTGGGAAGGTCTGGAATAAAACCTTCCCCAGCCCAACATCAGACAAACCAAAATCAAATTTTTAAAGAAAGGCCCAATTATCTATAGTTTTGCAAAATTATCCAGATGATTTCTATAAAAAGTGAAGGCTGCGAACCACTAGTAGCAATAAGAAATCCCACACAGTCCCTGTATCAAGTTTTGGTAGCAACTCTACAGGTTCAACTACCTAGTAGAGCAATCGACCCACCCATATGGCATCTAGCACACAGGCACCCACGAAGGTCTTCCCTCCATGTTCACATGACAACCATCTAATTCATTATACTCAACAGATCATAGCACAAGGTGGCATGGTCTTCAGACAAATTAGATGCAAACAACTTGGGGATCTATGAGGATGAAAAATTCATCAAGCCAACATATTTCAAAGGTGAATGATTCTCCTACTTATTGGAGAATGGAAGTAAAATTGTTACCTTTAATTCTAGCAAAACTACACTTTAAGAACAGATAATAAAGCCTGAGGATGAAGAAGAGAAATAACAACATAGGAATAAACTTCCCCAGACCCCAAGATAACAGGAATCTGCCACCTCCTATTGTAATAAATGACAATAGCAGTAATCAAACCTTACATGTACATAGGAATTTATATTTAACAAAATACTTTCATAGTCATTAATTGATTTCAACCTCACGATAGCTTCATGGGTTATATCATGAAAACTGTTTCTTTATATTCTAATTTTACAGATGAGAACAACTGAAGTTCCAAATAGATCTATGGCAAGCTCAAAGCTAAGGCAAGTTAAGGGTAGAACCAAAACCATACAACGGGTCCTCAATATCTAAATGAGGTTCTTGCTGCTCCACACCCCTTCACTAATCTCACAATAAAGACTCTCTCCTGAGACCTTATGCTACCTGAAGAAGAAATACTGTTGCTTCTCCTCCAAAACTTGTGAAATATAAAATTATTCAGAAACCATTTTCACCCCACCAAAGTTCCACAGTGCTGCAACTGATTCCTGTTTCCTCTATTAACCTATCTTCTCTTTACACATTATTGAGACATTGGCTTTTTTAAGCACTAAAGACCAAATATAATATCCAAGTGGCAATTATATCACCAAATACAATGTAAGAATTGTATTAGGTTGGCACAAAAGTTACTGCTGTTTTTGCCATTAAAAGTAATACTGGTATTAGGTTGGTGCAAAAGTATTGTCGTTTTTGCCATTACTTTTAATGGCAAAAACCACAATTATTTTTGCACCATCCTAATATTTAATACAAATAATGCCATTCTAAGCATACATAAAAACCAATAAATCAAATGTAGAATGTGGAGCACAAAGACATGTGTTTCTAACTTCATTCCTCTATGAATGTTTCTTTTAGGTCATAAAATGTTCTATGAAAGCAAGACCATGGGAAGAACTGGCACATGTGTTTGGGAAGAGGAAAAGGTTATTGAGTGCCTACTATGTGTCAGGCACTGAGCTGAATGCTTCCACATATTAATGTTTTATACTTGAGTTTTCATTAACAGCTCTAATCTGTACTATTAATAAAAGATAAAGAAATCCAGGCTCACAGGGTAAGTTGATTATCTTCACATGACTGGAACAGAGCAAAACCAGACTAGGAATCCAGCTCAGGCAGTCCTGCTCCAAAGTCCTTTTCATTATACTCTTTCCACTTATAAAAATGCTCAATTACACTCCCAGATACAGTGGAAATGCCAAAGCCTCTAAGCTTTTTCCAAACCCACATCTTGTGCCCATTCAGGTCCCCACTCTGCCTGGACAGCATTAATTCCTAAATAGTCTACACTCTCACCATCCCCACTTGCACCTCAATGTTAAGAGTTTTGCCATTCTGTGTGATTTTTAGAGCAGTGGTTTTACCCCCACAGAAGACACAGGAAAAACTGGAGACATTTTCAGCTGTCACAACTTAGGGGTGCTGCTGCTTTGTAGTTGGATGAGGCCAGGGAGGCTGCTATATATCTTGCAATGCACAGTACAGCCCCCACAACAAAGAATTATCCAGCCCCATATCTCAGGAGTGCTGAGGCTGAGAAACCCTGCCTTACAGTGATAATGTGATTTAATAAATGTTCTTCCTCCCCAGTAAAATGAGACCATAACCACCATGAGGAATAACTGAGACAATATACATAAAAACCTCTGGTGCACAGTGAACACTCAGTCCTAATTAGATAATCTGATTACGCACTTCTTAAGAGTAGGAACCTCCTCAGTTAGCTCTGCATTATTCCCATACAAAGCACAGGGCTTTTTTCATGGGCACTCAACAAATGTGAAAGAATGTATTCTTTATGTTAGAAATTCTTGATTAAAAAACAAACGCCACTATTATCTATAAAACACACCATTCTCCCATACTCACTCCTTGCCAAACAATAAGTGAATAGTATAATACATGATTCATTGCAGCAGGCTATGAAAAGCTACAGTGCATCCAGGATAATGTTATAGAATCACCTCCATAAATAAACTATTAATAAACTTGCTATTGAAATGTTTTATCTTATTTTAACAGAAGGTTAATGAAGAGATCGTGATATACAGATTTGAGAAAATCTCCACCCAACAGGCCAAGATTTTGCTATATAAGGTCAGTTTTGACAATATTGATTCTCAGGTCTTGAGTTAAATTATTCAGCTTTAAACTGTAATCATAAGCATATCAAATAAAAACACTGAAAGTCAAATCTTTGAATAAGCCAAAACAGGCGGGTATCACATCTCAGGGCAAGATCTTTGATTTTTGCTTTTCTCAGTTTATGTAAGTTTGAGTCAGCATGGAAATCCTAAAATAAATGATTACAAAAAGTATAGGATTAGCATTCACTCAAGTGACCTATAACAGGATAACATACAATCATTTTTGCAGTTTCTGGAGGTGCGGTCCCAGGACCTTGAACAACAGAATGAGCATTTATACTTATTAAATGTTCAAAGAGGATACCCCAGACCCACTGAATCAAAATTTCAGAAGTTGGAGCCGGGAAATCTACATTTTAAATCCTTTCCCAAATATTCATTTTACATACTAAAGTTTGAGGACCTCTGCCAGGAGACCAGACCCCAGAAAATTGCTTTGCCTCATTTTGTAAATTTCTAGCATAGTCTTGCTTCTGCAGACTACTGGTAATTCATTAAACATAAGATCCACATCCCCATCCCATTATAAAAAAAAAAAAATAGGTAGAGGATTTTGTTTATTGCTTTTGTGCAAATATATTTTTCTAAAGTACAAAGATTAACATTTTATGAAAATGCTAAAAAAAATTTAAAACTGGGAACAAATATAGAAAGAATTATCAAGGAAAACATAGCTCAATTCTGGGCCCCAGAAGTGTCAACATTTACTGTGTGCCAGACTAGGGATAGTGATGGCCTAGACAGACTAGGTCTCTGACTTAATTTTCCCTTGACTTATGTATTTAAATTGCTAAATACAGACATAAACAAGGAAGTAAGATAATTCAGAGAGTGGCAATACCATAAAAACAATAAAGCAGGTTAATGTAATAAAGAAAGTCTATGGCAGAGGGAAGCAGAGGCAGTGGCTAGCTGTAATAGACACAGGGATGAAAAGTGGCTTCCTTGAGAAGGTAACATTTGAGCTGAGACCTGAAGGAGAAGGAGCCAGCCATGAGAGGGCTGGGGGAAAGTGTTCTAAGTAGAGGGAACTATGACTTTAAAGACCCTGAAGTGAGAACAAGGTGCTCATTCTAATATAGAAATTAAATAATATATTCAAAAGGTTTTATGGAATATAAAACTATTTACAAGCATAAAACACGACTTTTAGTGACAGAATAGTTCGTGGGGATAATGAAGGGCCTCAGCTCTATGCCATAAGAATGAATCAAGCAACTGAGGCTACATTGCCTGGACAACAGGAGATGTAAGTATATGTTTGGAGGAAGAACGGAGAAATTTTCTTCAAATATCAAAAGGACTACACAAAAGGACTACATTCTTTTTTTTTTTTTTTTTTTTTTTTTTTTTTTTTTTTTTGAGACAGAGTTTCGCTCTACTTGCCCAAGCTGGAGTGCAATGGTGCGATCTCAGCTCACCAGAACCTCTGCCTCCCTCGTTCAAGTGATTTTCCTGCGTCAGCCTTCTGAGTAGCTGGGATTACAGGCATGTGCCACCACGCCCAGCTAATTTTGTATTTTTAGTAGAGACAGGGTTTCTCCACGTTGGTCAGGCTGGTCTTGAACCCCTGACCTCAGGTGATCTGCCCACCTCAGCCTCCCAAAGTGCTGGGATTACAGGCGTGAGCCACCGCGCCCGGCCCAAAAGTTCTACATTCTTGTGAAAGAATATTTAATTTTAAATTTTAAATAGCTCTAGAGGTATGAAATGGGGTTGAAATGGTAAACATTTTAAGAAGGCAGGATCTCAGCACAATGTGATAACATTCAAAGGAACTGCAGGAAAATGGACTGACAGAAAAGTAATGAGTTCCACATGACTGGAGGTCATGAAGGATGGGCTGAACAGCCAGCTGGCAGAGAACTCAGAATGAGGACTATGAAGACTCTTATAGCATGCTGGAAATATACACACTCACAGCATCTGTCTCTCTTAAGCACAATAGCCACCACGACGGCCTCCCTACTTTGCACTTTACAACCTTAAGAAGTATTGAAAAGAAATATGAGAAATACTGAGGAATCCTTCATATTCCTAATTCACATTATCACCCTGGGATAAAATATGTCTTCATTTCCGTAATAACCAATCTATATTCAAAAGGGCAAATTAGGAGACAGGAAAAACCAACATTTATTTAAAACCTGTGGCTAATTTGTAGTGGTATCTTACCAGTAAACATTAAACAATTATTTCAATTTATTAAAAGAATTACTCTATTTTAACAAAAATGTGTCCAGATTCCATTAGGTTCCCAATAGATGGCATGCCAATAAACAGCCAAGACCTTTAGTAAATGGGTATGTGGCCTTTTGTTGGTTTATTTTTTAATGCAGCCATGAACAGAAGGAGATGGTTTCCTCATTAAAAGTCCTGAGAGTGAATCACTATTCTTTATTATTTACCTATGCTCCTCGGTAAATAAAGCAAAAAACAGACATTGAATCACTACTTGATTAGATGGGACTAAAATGCTAAAGATAAACAAATCTAACCTTGCCCAAAACAGGAATAAGCTAAAATTGGGAGTAAGACTAGAAGCAACTTTGAAAAACTAAACATTATTAAATGGCTTTTATATAAAATATTTATATTTCTATATCTAGATGTACCTGACTCACATGCAGATATATTTCAAGGTGTTCTCTGAATACCTACATATACTTTTTATTTATTATATTAAGTATGTTTCTTTAAAACTACCTGTAAACAAAATTATATTATGACTCTCTTAGGGCAGCTTATAAAAAAGAAACTTATAATAAATTTTTCCATAAAATAAGGGCTATGTCCATATACTTATTCATAAAATTATACCTGACTTTATGAAAACCAGGAATGCCAAAAGAGAGACTTTAAAAATTAAAATCAAAGGCTTAGCATTTGATATGGTTTGGCTGTGTCCCCAACCAAATTTCGTCTTGAATTGTAGTTCCCGTAATCCCCATGTGTCATGGGAGAGACCAGGTGGAGATAATTGAATCATGGAGGCGGTTTCACCCATCCTGTTCTCATGATAGTGAGTTAGTTCTCATGAGATCTGATGGTTTTATAAGAGGCTTCCCCCTTTACTGGGCACTGATTCTCTCTCCTGCCACCCTGTGAAGAGGTGGCTTCTGCCATGATCGTAAATTTCCTGAGGCCTCCTCAGCCAGGCAGAACTGTGAGTCAGTTAAACCTCTTTCCTTTATAAATTGCCCAGTCTCAAGTATTTCTTCATAGCAGCGGGAGAACAGACTAATACAGTATTTAACAGAAAGAAAATACTTATCATATGATTTTATGTATAAGGACCTCCTCCTAGAGCTATAACATTTCTATTTATACCTACAGTATTTTAGAAACATACATATTCCATAAAAGTTGCATAATCTATAGTGCAATCACTTTTTAATGTAATTTACTTAGGCTCACATATCTTTTAGCTCGTATTTTGCTATTTTATTAAACTTTAATCTTTTAGAACTCAGAATGACAGCAGGACTGGATTAGTGGCCTCAGGAAACACAGGGTCTGCTCATGAGCAGTGCCACCTAACATCGTCTGGTTGCCTAGAAACCAAACCCTTAAATAGGTAGGTAGGGAGTTATAATTCTTTAAGTAAATCAACACAAGGCCCCATAGCATTTTTTTGGGGGGGGGGGGAGGGGACAGAGTCCCACTCTCTCGCCCAGACTGGAGTGCAGTGGCAAGATATCGGCTCACCACAACCTCTGCCTCCCAGGCTTAAGAGATTCTCCTGCCTCAGCCTCTCGAGTAGCTGAGATTACAGGTGCATGCCACTACCACCTGGCTAATTTTTGTATTTTTAGTAGAGACAGGGTTGCATCATGTTGGCCTGGTTGGTCTTGAAATCTGAGCTCAAATGATCCATCTGCCTTGGCCTCCCAAAGTGCTGGGATTACAGGCGTGAGCCACCGCACCTGGCCAGGCCCCAAAGCATCTCTAACTACATTCTCATTTGACTAATACACAGAAAAGCTGTGGTGGCTACAAAACAATGGGGCTGGTAAAAGAGAGCAAATCTCCTGTCCCAAAGTTCACTGCATTCACCATGACCATTCTTTGCAGAATCTCCCTTAAACTTGGAAGGTGCCATAGTACTGTATCAACCACCAAGAGAATGGAATCCTTTAGAATAATAATGTTGACAACCTAGCTGCTAAATATCTTCCCTCTCTAAAAAGATCTGAGACCTCTTGCCATTTGTTTCCTTGCCTTTTTCAAATAACAAGAAATTATGGATAATTCTGGATTTTCCAAATATTCTCATCCTTAATTGAATCTCTTGGTATCTCCTCTTATAAGACTGCAGAGTTTCACCTCTTGAATTAGTGTACCAAGCTGTGAAATGTCTCCCAAATGTATATTCTATGGGTGGGAAACATAATGAAACGGAAAGGCTCTAAGAAATGGCACCATAAAACCAACAGCATGCTACAGAGTTGCTCCTTCATATTGACAGCAAATCAGAAGTAATTTTGTACCTAAGTCAGAGCTTAATTCATTAGTTACTTCACAAGTTCAATCCAGTTTCTCAAAATGCAGTAACACAATCTTCCAACCTAATTATCTTCATTGAAAGTATTTAAAAGCCTTTGCTGAGACACATTTCTTTCTGTGTCAGACAGGATCAACGTCAAGTGAGCAGGTTGGGTAGACTACATTCTGTCTAATGGTAAAAGGTGTACAATTTAGGAAATAATCGTTTCTTGCAAGGGAGAATTTTCCCCTGGACACCAAAGGAAACCTCTCGTAAATAAACATATAAATGTGTATCCACTTAGAATCTCGAGAATACCCTATAAATAATACTTTTGACATTCTGCAGAATTGAAAATATTACAACCTGAATGATTTCTATAATAAATTTAATTAACTGAGAGAAGTTTAGGGCTCAGGAGGAATTTTTAAAAATAGAACACGAGATAATTTGTAATGGAAATGCCATCCCATATCGCTGCCACTAGGGAAAATGATGGATATTTCCCTAGAAATTATCATGAGGAAACAGTTGGTTTGTTTTGATGGCATTTCAATAGCTCATTCAATGAAACCCCAAAAGTTTCAGTCCAAAAACAGTTCACTTTCATTTTTTTTGTTTTTTTTTTTGACAATCAGAAAAGGAATCAACTCACATTTTCAACCAGCCATTTTTCGTAGATTATACTTGGGGAAAATACCTTTTAAAAACACTTTTTGAGTGAATTTGTAAGCAGAAATTAGTACACAGGCAAGCAAGACTTCTTATTCCACAGCTCAGTCTCAACTCAAGTTTAACTTTTAATTATTTCCTAAAATTCGTCGCTGCTATTAAGCTTTTGCTTTGTGAGGTAACCCAGTTTTCTTCCAACACTGTTCACTCCACTCATTTAATTCATGTCCTAGGCCAATAACACATCTACTTTTCCAGCTGTAATAGTTTAATAGCTTAAATTTCTGAAGTAGATGGCATTCTTTTCTCTTTCAAAAACCAGTTCTGGCAGTGATTAAGTAAAGGAAACTGAACGCTTGAAGAGCTTCAAATATGTGCCATCAGAATTCATGTGTCACATACAAACACAGTAATATATAATGAAGGGAAATACCCAAATCACAGAATCCAGTTTAAGCAACATAACCACAGATATATTTTAAAAGATGGAGAGTCAATCAACAAGTATATTAATTCATTTTAAATTTGTTAGGAGCCATTTATGAGCCAGTATAGACAGCACTGCAATTTGTCATTCATGAACTGAAACCGTACATAAGCCACTCTCAGACTCAATGTACTTACCTTATAAACTTGCCCGTATGTTCCATTTCCAACAAGTTCCACCAATTCAAAGATCCCTGCGGGGTCCTGAAAGAAAATAAACAAACAATAAAAATTCAAAACAATATTCCAGGCATTGCCTTAATCAAAAGCAAATACTTATTTAAATTAAGCAAATAAATAACAACTTTAGCTTCAGGGGCTCTCATGTGTTAACATTTAATACTATCAAAATTTTAAAATTTAAGTCAGCTGCAGCTATGAAATTAGCCAAGTTCTATTTTCTTTCCATTTTACATTTCTATGAAATGTGTTTAAATCAGGCAAAAGGAGATGCTTTTTCAAGTGAAATAATAAAAAAGAAGTAACACATTTCTCACTGTTAAATGGAAAAACACACTTGCAGGAGCTACAGCAAGATAAAGTGAAAGACTCATCATCCTGAGAAGGTTCTAATGTTCCAGGGTATTTCTCTTTGAAATATCCGAGCTGTTCATTGTGTTGAGTGAGCCCTGGTAGCTAAGAAGGGTGTTCGTGCATTGTGGGGCAATCTTACCTATGGTAGTCAACAGTTTCCAAGGGAAAATAGAGTCAACTTAACTACCTCTCTCAGAAAGTTTTTCTTTGGATTCATCTCTTCTGTAATACTGCCTCTACAAAATATACTTTTGAGGATAGCCTCCAGTTCCTGCAGTACCTGCTGAGTAACTGCAGGATTTAGAATGCAAACTAAATTGGAGAATTATTCAAGTTCTTACCACCAATCAGTTGTCCACTAACCCCAGGAGTCAGCTAAATGTTACAGCGTTCAATAAATATCCAAAATTACTGCTATTATAACTGAATTACTATCCCAAAAAGTTGAAAAGAAAAATCAAAGCCAATAAAATTCTATTCAGAGGCAGAAATTGACTTTCACCCCTTACTGATTCCTAACTGGACAGAAATTGCTTCTTTAAAGGCATAAATCTAGGAGTCACAAACTTAAATGTCTACAGAGGCCAGGCCAGTAACATAAACAAGTAAAGTGGTCCAGTTGGGGCCTGTGGCAAACTGGGCAACCCGAGCCTCCTTGAGGGAGGTAGGGTATGGTATGGTAGGGTGGGGTGGGGTGGAGTTTACTTAGCTGGAGCCACTTGTTGTCTTGTCAACATATGAGCACAATATTGCCAGGTCTAAAGATTTTTCAAGAGAAACTGAACATTGTATTTAATGTGAGATCTCCTATTTTTTAAGTTTTAGGCACTTAATTTAAAAAACATTCTTAGGAACAAATAAAAATAGACTGCGCCTTTGGCCTGTCTCTACTGGACACTTACATAAGAGCAATGCCATATATTATTACAATGGGTGGCTAAGAGGCAGGGAGGGAACAGCCTGAACTTCAGATTCAGAGAGACCTGGGTTAAATACCAGCTGTGCCTTGACCAGCTGTGTGATCCTAGGAGACCCCGAGAAAGCAACATATTGTCTGGGTCTGCAGGGATGACATCTACCTAGCCATGCTCTTGTGAAGAATAAGTGTGGGCTTTGCACAATGCCTTTCAAGTAGTCGGAAATCTATTAACACCTAATAGTAATCACTTTTAAGCTGAGAAATTCCACACCACCAGCAGGATTTAAATGGGGGAAGGGGAAAATGAGTTTATCTGCTATTCTGGGGAAAGGGAAAAATGAGTTTGATCTGACAAGTCAGGATGCTTTAAAGTCCAATCTGTGGTAAATCAAACTCAAGAAAAGCCCCTGCGTAGGTGCCTTCAAAGATTCCACACAGAGAACAAATAAAAACAAAAACAAAAAGCAAACAAAGCACCCAACAGATTAAGCACTTAGTCACTGAGAAAGATTGGAGTTAGCACTACATTACCTGCTCTTACAAAGCCAGAAGGGCAAGAAACCACACTCCATGCTCATGTCCTGAAAAATCCAGAAGTCCAGAAGTTCCAGTTATGCCCCACCTGGTCTGGGAGGTGTGGTTCCAGACAGAACCACAAAACCGGAAAACACTCTTAAGGGACTTAGAGCTCTGAGTCGACCAACACCCCATAGTTAGAAGACACCATCAAGGCCACCTGGGAGGCCTCAGGATCGGGAAGAAAAATTTTGTTGGTTAAACTACTAGGCCATTAGAGCAGCAGGTTTTATTACAAATGGAATTAGAAAGAAATGAGGAAAAGAAAAAAAAAGCCCATAAATGGTGGCAGCTGCTGTTTGTTTCTAAGCTGTGCTTCCCAGTAGTTTGTTTGCTTGGTGGTGTTTCTGCAACATATTTGGAGAGAAGTCCTACATTTGCTTGAAATAGCTCAATTGTGTTTTCAACATTCATTTTTCTTAACTAAAAAAAAAATAACAGAAAGAGAAGAGATACAGGACAGTGATGAGTGGCTGCCTCAAGGAACCTGGGAATCAAACAGGGATGTGAGATGAGGGCAGGAGCACAAACAGGTGCAGAGCAGGAATCAGCTTCTACATCCAAAGGTCACTCGCCTCAGGGTCCCCTCTCAGAGCTGGGGTTAGTAGGTAGGTCTCAGGAAGATCTGGACAGCTGACTTGTGAGGCTCTTTTCTCTCCTTGAATAATCTATTCTTGGGTATATGTCCCAACCAATCAAAACCAAGGAGGCTTAATGCTGAGCCTTTAGTTCAAACTGCTAGGAGAAGGTTTTTGCTGGACACATCCAAGGGCCTCAGAAGTAAAGTTCAGAGGAACTAAAGAGTTCTACTGGCAACTGGCCTTGCATAGGCAACCAAACTGGAAAGAATCATCATATCAGATGGGTTCCCCAGGAATAAAACCTGAGACTCCCTGAGATTTATACTGTGTGAGTTTATTGGGGTATGCCTCAGAATCAACACCTGCCGGGGAGTAAAGGAAGAACTGGACTGAGCCAAAGGAAGAGCTGAACTGAAATGTAGTGGTAACAAAAACTTCATCTGATCCATGGAAGTGCTGGAGCTAGGACAGCCCTGGAGAATTATCCTACCTGGAAGCATCAGGACTTTGCATCCCATCTCCATTGACTAGTCACTGCATGTGGGATGCCCCCCAATACCCGTCCCAGAGGTAACAATCTTAGGTGAACTGACACTGTTCAGCTGAGGACATTTTTCAGATGAACGTCATCCCTAGCTACCTACACTCCCAGAAGGTGGACAACTGAGTGCCTCAGCAGTGGAGAACTGAGCTCTGTGTGACATACCACAACATACACTACAAGCACCATGGCTAGAAATAAGAACCAGTCTGGAATCAAAAGAGAAGTCTATAAGCATCTACAGTCTACAGTATCCTGAGAGTAACAAAGCAAAATAGCATGAGTCATGGTATTTGCAAGGAGGGGGCTCTTTGAAACCCTAGATATGGAAGTCAGAGGTATTATTCAGTGACACCTCAGTACTGACCCTAGGCTCTCTTCTCTCTTTCCCCCAATCCAAGCGCCTGGAGAGCTGAATGTTTGTGAATAGTCTTTCACACAAATGCATTTCATCATTAGTTACATCCTTGTAGAATTGTGATACAGCTTGAACAGTATAAGCATTTAGCTGTTTTCTCCATTCTAGAGTACCTCTAAAGTAATTTCCCCAAAAGGTCACCATGAACCTCAATTTCTTACACATAGTGGTTGCTTCTCAGTCCTGTCCTAGTTGTCCCTTTTGAGGCATTTATACTCCTGAGCATCACTACTCCTGTTGAAAATATATCCCTCCACCATCTTCTATCATACCTCTTAGTCTCTCTCACAGATTCTATAATATTTCTTCTGCTCACACCTTCTAGGTACCTTCCCCTAAGTTTCCACCCTTGTCCACCACTCCCCTAATTTTGTTCACTAAGTGTCAATGATCTTATCTCCAAATGTCCACCATATCCATCTACTCCACTCCATTCACACAACAGGCTTCATCATCTTTTTCTGGGACCATTTGCTTTTAGTTAATTCTTTCTTCCTTCTAAGCTATTCTCCATACTGATCTTTCTAAAACAGACATTTCTAATCATGACACTCCATGATTTAAAATAATACAAGATACGGTTCAAACTGAAAGTCAAGGTCATGTCATTCTTAGGCCTGGCCTCGATTCCCAGCCTTGTGTTCCATCATTCTGTACTATAACCAACACATGTCCCTCATGTCCCTAACATACCACACTCAGCTCTTGGTTCATACTGCCCATCTGCCAAGATTATTCCTTCTGCTTTCTTTATGAGGCAAGCCCATCCTTGAAAGCCCAGCTTGCTGCCTCCTTTCTGAAGCCCTTCTTAAATCAGCGTCACTGCCTCTCTCTCTCTGCAGCCGCAATATGTTGTGCACAGCTCTATGATAACCATTTTCACATAGTGCTAGCCTCTCTTACATTTCTCTCCCTTGATGAATTACAAATGCCTCAAGAGCAAGCACTGTAACATATTTATCTTGGTATTTCCAGCACTTAGCATGCTGTCCAATACATAACTGCTAGATATAACTATTTACTGAATAAGGTTGATGTCCCACTCCCAATTCTTCAAGACATGTATAGTGCAAATCACAAAAAATGGGATCAGAATGTAGAGCCAAAGGTCTAGCAAACTTACATCATTTCTTTTAAATCTAGACAAGTTGTTTTACCACTGTGCCCTCTATCCTCCTTACCCCAATCCCAAATGGACAAAACTGTCACATGTAAAAGCCCCTGTAGTATTCCCAGCTTAAAAAAATAAAATCCATAGAGCCTGTTGTAGTAAACTGTGCCTCACGTGCATTGAGAAGACAGGCTGTCAGAATGTGGCCAACAGAATGTGCAGCAAGGAGAGGAAGCTGTACCTAATAATCATGTTACAAAGACAGGAAAGCTAAGAGATAAGAAATCCACTTAATTCTCCCTCTTGTGTTTGCTTAGCTGCTCTTAAAGCCAGGATGAGCAGCATGGAAGAAAGTTACATACACCAAGGAGAAAAGAGCAAATCATTGACATTTACCAAAGTCAAGAATCCCTGTTGGCCACACATGCCTTTATTCAGATCTTAACCTTTGCTGGGAGGGTGAGAAGAGAATTTAATTCTAAGGTAGAGTAGTTTACATTATTTCATAATGAAATATAACTACATATCAAAAGGTAGACTATTCCTTGAAAGAAAATGTAATTTTTCAGCCAGTACTGATAAAAGCAAACTTGGTTAGTCATGACAATAAAAATTACAGTAATAGTGAACATTTCATGAGGACTTATGTGTCAGAAACGATTCTAAGCATTTTTCATGAATAGCTCATTTATCACAGCTTTATCAAGTGGATGCTATCATTATCTTTGTTTTACAGATTAGGAAATGGAGGCACGGAGGGATTAAATGCTTAGTCAGGGTCACACTACTAATGAGCGGCAGAGCCAGGATGTTGACTCAGATGGTCAGACTCCAAACCTTGAGTTCCTAATCACTATATCATAGCTTCATGGAACCATAATCCCCAGCCCTTGGTTTACCACCTGGTAGCTCTCTAACCTTGAGCCAGTTTCAGAACTGCATTGAACCTCAGTTTCCTCATCTTTAAAATGTGGACAGGATTACCTCCCTTGGGAGATACAATGAGAACTGTGAGTGTCTAGACTAGCTTGGGGCCTGATATGTAATAGGACTTTAATAAATATTCATTTTCTTCCTCCCTTTTCTTTTTCATCTTTGAAAATGAGTTCATGTAATAAACAAAGAATATGCCACAGTAAAATTCAGTCCGCATTTTATAGATTTTCAACTAAAAAAGCCAATAAAACTAATCTGGCCAGTAAACGAAAACCTATTGCTTTTCAACCAATAATATTACCCACCACATGCTTAGCAAACAGAGTCAGGTATTTATGGACAAAATGTATGTCTCTTTAAAAATTAGTTAGACAATTGAGAAGGCGCATTAAGTTTTGGGGGTTCCTTGGATGTTGAAATAAATACTCTTTCTTTCAGCTGATGAAATTTAGATGGCATTGGCAGGCTCAAGCCCAGCTTCACAGCAGAGAGGAGAGATTTAAGATCTAGGGTTTGATATTCCCTGCCACTAGGTTATGCTTTAATTCCTCCAGGTCCTCTGAATGATACTGGATTTATAAGAACACTAAATAACACCACTGGGCTAAATCCCAAAGATTGAAAAAGGCAAACTTAAGTCTGTAACTAGGATGACTATTTCCTTCACATCATAAAAGATGATACATATTCTTTCCAATGCCTCCCCACTTCTTTGAAAATGAAATTGACACGGATCATGAGCAAATGGCCTACACAGACTCTAGACACCCCTCCTCCAAAACGCCTCTTAAAGACACAGCCGTTCTGTGACAGAATCTTTTACTTGAGGCCACCAGTCCTCTGGCAGGGTAAAATACACCCAACAGAATACGGATGGCTGATAGTGCTCCCAGAATGACTGCTACCCCCGGATTCCCTATTGACATCTGCCAAACGACTGTGCTTACTCTAAACTTACGGGCCTTAAGAAGACCAAAATGTTATTTCTTTTAGAACCATATTTAGCAGCTGTTTTGTTTGGTTTCAGCCCTAACTGACAAGCATATGCTTACAAAAGCAAAACAGAACAAAGAAAACAGGAACAGTAGGAGAACTCTCCACATTTATCTTGAGGCTTCAGGCTTTTCAACATCATCTTCGAAAGTACAGCATTAGGAAACTGTGCTGACTCAACAACCCCCAGATTCTAGTTTATGCTGCACTCACAGCCAGGCAAGTTCCCTCAAAGGTAATTTTTTACTTTAACTTCCCCTCTTCTAAAGCAGTAGAGGTTTGCAGAGTCAAAGGTCTTGCTTTACACAGTAAGATTTATTTAATCCCTGACTGCTACCTGGCACCCTCCCTCGCCACCTACTGTGTGTTATACACTGTCCAAGGTAGAGGCAGTGGGGTACATGGCCCCTGCTTCATGGTGCTTCCAATCTAAGGAAGGAAGCAGACATGAGCAACTTACTACACGTACATAGTGATTAGATCATCATAACGACAAGCAGCATATGAGAAAAGGTGCTCCAAGAGTATTGATCCAGGAGATCTGGAATATAGCCCAGAAGCATATCTTCATTAACCTGCTGGCCCAAAGAAGTCATCTCAACTGGAATAGATAATTCAAGTAAAAAACATAAATATATACAGATAGATAGATAGATGATAGATAGATAGATAGATAGATAGATAGATAGATAGATAGATAGATGAGAGAGATATGGCTATAGGTAGGTAAAATACTGATTGTTGATTTTTCTTACTTGATCATCAGTGTAGGACAAATTAAACTATGCAAACCTATCACAGGACTGGTCCAAAACAATTAGGGTTCAAGTCTGGATTCCACTCCTTACTAGAGTTCTTTCACCCCTCATATTCCAGTTTTCTTCATCTGTAATTTGGGAAAGTGCCCTTTGGCCTGCATTTTTACAATGTCGCATCCTGCGTATGAATGTTCTAGGTAACTCCCCAGCTCCCTGTGTCAAGCATCGTCTTTTGGGAAGGGCTGTCCTGAGTGTAGGCTGATTCCAGGACACAAACTGCTCCGATAGAGCTGTTCCTGGCTAGTGTTGGTATCCTCTTACTAATACCAGCTCCTCAATGATCAGCTGGCTACTGGCAGAACACAGCCAAACCTCCAGGAACTAACCCTCGATACTGGTAGCTTCCAGTTTGGCTTTCATCTCTCAGAACAGGGAGACTGGAGCCTCCTCACCTCCTGTTTGGTTTGCAGTCTGCTTAGTTTCACCTGCTAATGTGCAGCAGCCAGCAGTGACACTGCTTTAGATCACCCTCCCCGCTCAGCTGCTTCACTCAAGACCCTGCAGCTCCAGCCTGTCCTCACAAAGTCGGCCTTTAGAACTGGATTTGAAACATCACTCCTCGGATTAATCACTGCAAAACCTTAAGCTATACAATAAGCTATAATAGGCATTATCGTTGTCATTGGGATAGGCCATAGCCTAAATGCTTTTCATACATTTTCATATTTCTTCCTTATGCAACCTGAGAAATAGGTATTACTAACCCCAATTTTCAGATGATAAAACTAAGGCGTCAAGGAATTAAGTAACTTGCCCAAGATTAAACAGTAAGTGGTAGAGACAGCAGCCAAGACCAGACTGTAAAGTAAAGGTAAAAATACCTGTCATGGAAGATGGTTCTGAGAATCCAAAACAACATATATAAAGCATTTAGCACAATGCATGGCAGTGCTTAATAAATAATGGCTACAGACATACTGCTCTTGCTGGTGGTATTAAGAGAAGTTTCCCAAGGTGATGACAACATTGGTTCATAGTAGAGCCAGGATTCAAATCCAGGTATTTTGAATCCAAGTCCATTATTACTCATTTCTCTACAAATGGCCAATGCTGAAATTAACCTGGGGTTACGGGGATGCTGAAGGCCTTGTGGGTTAACAATAGAGCCAGAGAATGGGCAGTGACCTCAGGACAGGAAACCACAATGAGCCAAATGGCTGGGAGCATAGAAGTTTTCTATACCATGGTTGCTTGGTGTCCCTGCCTCTTATCAGAGCCAGAAGCCCCAGAGAGGGAGAGCAAACAGGCTCTCAGATTTCTATCTAAAGCTAGTTTCTTTTTTTCCTACTTTGCCATTAGCTAGGATGAATGCTAATTACTTTAAGCTAACCAATTAATTGACAGTGAGAGGCGGTATAGCATAATAGTGAAAACCACAGACTCTACAGCCAAAAGCCTGAATCGAATCCCAGCTTCACCATTTTCTAGCCATATGACTTTGGGCATGTTATTTAATCTTTCTATGCCTGTTTCTTCAACTATAAAATACTGATAATGGTAGTACCCACTTTGCTGGATTACTTGATATAATAATTAATATATATAAAATGTGTAAAGCAACATCTAGCATATTGTAAGTGCTTAAAAAGTGTTCGCTAAAAATTCTTTACTCAAGAAAGAATAATTTCTTTACTCCAAGAATGAATAACTCTTATTGGTTTTGTCCACTGCAGTATCTCCAATACCTCGATCATGACTGGGACATCAGAGATATTCAATAAATATTATCTGGATGGAGCAAGTCCTCACATCACCACTTCTTCCACCGACAGCCACAATGCGGTAAGGTCTGTGACATTTGCAGCGAGGATTTCTGAGATCATATCAATAAAATATCTCTACCCATTTTACAGAAGAGCAAAGAGAGGCCCAGACAGGCTCTATATACTTATGCAGTTATAGATTTCTCCAGCAAGATAGTTTAGGTGATTTATCTGAGGTCTTATCCTAGTTAGTGGCAGAGTTAAATGAAGACCTATGTCTTTTGACTTCTAGTTTTTCCTTCTGTTTGATTTCACCCTTTAGTAAACCGATGGAATCACCCATTGCCTTTCAAAAAGTGGACCTGGAAAGGAAGGAAACAGGGACAGTAGGTAGGATGGGCAGGCCCTGCTGTTCTTTTGCAAAATCTAGGTAGTTGGGTTAAGAAATCGATTTCATTCATTTCCAGAAATGATGTAAGAAGATTTAGTGCACATGGCCAGTTTGACAGTCCATTTAGTAGGTCACATGCATATATATCAGCATAAAAGATAAATAATATTTTCAAAATATATTTTTCTCGGTTCACAGACTTAGCATATTCATACTCACAGTTAGCTCAGTTCAAAATTATTTCCTTACAGATGAAAACAAATAATTCTACATAAATTGATTATTGTCTACTAGCTTACATTGCATAAATAAGTATATACAACTAAGAATATAAAACTAAAAAGAGAACAATCCAAGGACTTCTTGTAACACTGACTTGAATATTTTTTCTGATTTTGGTGCATAGCACAGCTATTTTAATCCTTTGTCAGCTGCTGGGATTCACTGGCCAGCCCTTCTCATGCTTCTTGACCTGAAATTCCCAAGTCACGACTACAAACCTGCTTGTGCACACAAGGAATGCACAAGCCCCAACTGTGTGTTCAGAGACTGTTTTCTAACACATTCAGAGTCAGAGAAAGGCACACCAACTCCATAAGGCAAGTTAAGAAAACTCTTCAGGGTACTAAGCCACAAGACAGATATTGGAGAAGGATAGCTCTCTCCATCACCTCCTGTAATTTTTCTCAGCTCTTCTAAAAAAGTCTTTTAAGAAGCATACATGCAGGCCGGACACAGTGGCTCACGCCTGTAATCCCAGCACTTTGGGAGGCTGAGGCGGGCAGATCACGAGGTCAGGAGTTCGAGACCAGCCTGACCAACATGGTGAAACCCCATTTCTACTAAAAATACAAAAATTAGCTGGGCGTGGTGGTACACGCCTATAATCCCAGCTACTCAGGAGGCTGAGGCAGGAGCATCGCTTGAACCAGGGAGGTGGAGGTTGCAGTGAGCTGAGATCACGCCACTGCACTCCAGCCTGAGCGACAAAAGCGAAACTTGGTCAAAACACACACACACACACGCGCACACACACACACACACACACACACACACGCAAGTTGCTTTAAAGGTCAATATGCACATGACCACCCCCAACCCCAGCCCCTGCTCAACCTGGTCCCTTCCCTCCCATCATCAGGTTGTTGCAGAGATTATACAGCTGTTTGGGAAAATGTATCATACAGTTTACAAAGATTTGCAAACATGGGATCCTTCCAGACCTGTCAGGACAGGGTAACTTTCCAGTATTTCCAGCAAAACGAGGTGGAAATGATGGGAACCAGACTAGCAAATATTTTGGCCTTTTGCCTTTTTGAAGATACTTAGATGAAGAAAAAGATAGCAACTGCAGGAGATGGATTTAAAGACAAGAGCTGGTTACCTAAATAATTAAGAAAGAAAGATTAGGAAACAATTCAAGGTTCTGTTTTGGAAGAAGAGCCTTAACGGGACCATTCCCCCAGAGATACTCATTTACCACCTGCTTACAACAGACCAATGACACGTTATTTGCTTGAAAGAATTTTCAACTGTTCTTCCTACACCTATAAGCAACCATGAAGTTGATTACAGGCAGAGGTGAAACTTTTAGGTAAAAGGGACCTAACTCTATTCTAAGTCTAATAGGAGTATGAGGCCCCCTTTACCAGCTGCCTACCTGTCCCCACCCCTCTTCACAATACAGTGAGCTTCCTTCTTTGCCCTTTGCAGAGGGAACCTCTGATGAGGGCAAGAGTTGTGCACACTGAAAGGGGCAGGGTTAATGCCTTTCGGCCAAGGGCCCAGGACTTTTCTATGAGTAGGGAAATATTGGCTGGTTGATTAGATCATCTGTTACTCTCCCATTTCCAGAGAAGGGTGAGATGGCCCAGAGCCATGTAGGAACAGCCAGGAGCCCAATAATAGCTACCTGGAGCAGGGACCTGTCATCTGGCAGAGGTACAAACCAATCTTAGTCCATCACTTGGTGTCACCAGTAATGGTACAGATGGCTGACCAATACCAACTCTTATAAATCTCATACAGATGTTAATAACAGGGCTTCATTTGCATCTATTTTTTTTTCAAGCTTTTATATCTATGGCTAGGCCACCGTGAAGGACATACAAATTTATTTGCTTGCTTATTAGTTTTGCAAGGCAGATAACATTTTGGAACGGGGGATTTATACCATCTGTTCAAGGATCTAAAAGCTTTTTGGCAGACTCAAGAAGCTAAAGCCAGTCCTTTTGTCCCTCCAGATTTCCATGGGTGTTGAATTTCCACTGTCAAATAAGTTTGGGAACACTAGGTTAAAAAGATTAGCAGGTTAGGGGTTTCTTTACTGCAAGGCCTCTCAAAGCTTTTAATGTGTTAATGTACCCTGTGAATCTCCAAGACAGGGCAAAGCTTTTCATATTTTCCTAACTTGTCTGGCCACAGAACACTCCTTAAGGAAGCTTTGTATCTCCTCTAAGCACTGATATTCTGCAGAGCATAGAATGGAAAATGACAGTGTATAGAGCAATCTTTTCTGTGTCATTCCTACTTAACTAAAGCTTGCATCTTAAGTTACTGTAACAGAGATGGATCAATGCCACCCAATATTCATTCTCCCCTTGCTCCTTAACAAAAATTCCAATTTTATTTGGGAGGAAATGCACCCAGCTCAAAATCTACATGCCCTTGTCCCACTGAAGCTAGGAATGAATACATGACTAAATTCTGGCCAATGGTATGTAAGCAGAATTACTGTGTGGGGCATTCAGAAGGGCTGCCCAAATGGAGCTGACTTAGCTGGGAGAAGGGTTCTTCTGTCTTCCTCCCTCCTCCTTCCTGCTGCCTGGAATGCAGATGTAATGGCTAGAACACTACAGCCATTTCTGATCCTGAGGTGAATTTAAGAATGGAAGCCTTATGCTAAGATTGTTATAGCGGAACAATAAAATGATCCTATGGTTCTGACGATCATGGAGCTACCATGCTACCGCTAAGCTGCCTATGTCTGAACTTCTTTATCTTGAAAGAGAAACAAACTTCTATCTTCCTTAACCCACTAATATTTTGAGTTTTCTGTTTGAAGCAGCTGAAATCTAATTGATTTACTTTGAAGTTTACTGTTCAGATATTTTTATTCATTTATGTTTAACTAACATTCCTTCTTTAAAGGACTCTTCTCCATTAGCCTTTTGCTCTTTGGTAGAGGTGGCAGTCTCTAAGGTTGTTGAATACATCTTTTTTTTTTTTTTTTTTTTTTGAGACAGTCTCGCTCTGTCAGCCAGGCTGGAGGGCAGTGGCATGATCTCAGCTCACTGCAACCTCCGTCTCCCGGGCTCAAGCAATTCTTCTGCCTCAGCCTCTGAAGTAGTTAAGATTACAGGCGTATGCCACCATGCTCAGCTAATTTTTGTATTTTTAGGAGAGACAGGGTTTCACCATGTTGGCCAGGCTGGTCTCAAACTCCTGACCTCAGGTAATCCCCTCGCCTCAGCCTCCCAAAGTGCTGGGATTATAGGCATGAGCCACCGTGCCCGGCCTGAATAAATGTTCTATTTCTCCTCCTGCTGGCATGTTATAGGATGGCACTTCCCTACCCCTCTTGAAGCTGGCTGGGGCCACATGATTTACTTTGGCTAATAAAGTGTGCATGGAAGTGATGTTCCACTTCCAGATGGAATATGTGACTGACAGTTCAAATCATTGTGATGACTGTGGAAGCATATGTGGACATGATGCCTCCATTAGTCTGGTACTTGGATAGCTGATGAATGGAGTCCTCTACTGACCCACTCTAGGCATGTGGCATGGTCGAGAAATAAACTTTAGTTATATAAAGCCTCTAAGAGTGTTCATTACCATATCCTATCCTACTCTACTCTGACTGAAAGAATAGAAAAGACCAGAAACTGATGATAATAATAATCATATTGTATAATGCTTTGTAACTTTTGAAACAATATTTGAGAAGAACTGCTTCACACTGAATGTCTCCCCATGCCCCAGACATTATGCAGGGTATTTTGCAAAGGTTATTTTATTTCATCTCTGCATCAATCCTGTGAAGTAGATTGCTCACAAGAGAAAAAAAGCGAGGCTACAAGAGCCTCCAATGCCAAAACATACATTCTCCTCACTGTCTCCCATGTGCAATATCTGAAGGCAGCTCCCAGAAACAGTAAAATCCCTTCCAAAGCTGGCTGATGATACAGGGGGCAAGGAAAGACCAGAATTTTTACAAGGTGCCTACGTTCACAAGGCTGACTACACCTACATGGCCTAAACCAGAGCATGCTGGAGCTTGTGGTCTCTGCACCCCACTGAGGGCAACAGAATTGCAAGTCCTCGACTGCTCTTTTTTGAGTGTCTTTGAACTCAAAACCTGCTTTTTGAGCCACTGTCAAGGTAACCTAGCAGCTGAGAATAACTAATTGGGCAACGTTCTCTGACTGCTGGCATGAACAGTTATAATCTCAGCATCACTGTGGCAACCTGACTGGAATGCTGGTTATTCACACAAAGAAAAACTGGTCTCCATTCAGACCAGAATTGCATTTTGTCTTTGTTCCACTTTTCCCATTACAAGTTGCTACTGAAGGAACAATGCTTCTTTTAAGAAGAATGTGTATTATTGGTCTGTGCAAAAGCAGCATTTTCTTAGCCAAAAAAAAATTTGGAAAGGGAGGAAAAAGTAATATGTCCTATATTGCCAAAGGCAAAGAGACTATTAAGAAAGCTCTATATAAACAACAGTAAAGGTCATCTTGGGGTAATTCTGTGGCGTTTCAGCCAGGCCACAGAATTCTGTGGAGATCTCAATGGTGCAACATGGGCAACAGATGACTAAAAACTAGATTACATTCAATCAACCAGTGCACATTTCCTGAGCACCTACAATGTGCTATCACAGACACTGTCCTCCAAATCTCCCAGTGGTTCCCCGGTCTACTCTGCTCTCCCATCCAACCTCAGCCTCCCTTTAAAGCTACAGCACACCTCTCCCCAGGCATCAGCTACAGCCTCCAGCTCACCATTCCCAGAAGATGTTCTGTACACTCCCGCATTCTGTGTCCTTGTTCCCTTTTTGTTCTTGCTATCCAAAAAGTCCTTTTGTCCCATCTTTGTCAGTCAAAGCCTTACCAGTCTTTTGAGATCAGATTCAAATCATAGTTCCTACCTAAGGTCCTCCCATTACACTCCATTAGAGTAAATTCCACATTAAAGTACATTCCAAAGATCGCTTTGAATGTATCTGTCTTACTGCACTTGGAAGGCAACTCTCCAGGGAGCAAGATCAGCATTTGAATAAGGCTTTACCACTTCCAGTTGTGTTATCTTTGAAAAATCACTTAATCTCTTAGAGCCAAAGTCTCTTCACCTATAAACAGCATGCTACTCAGACTGCACCCATGACCATCCAACTCATCTGGGAACCTTGTTACAAATGCAGAAATCTGGGCCCTGCCCAGACCTACTGCATCAGGATTAACATTTTAATAAGATTCCCAAGTTATCCCAATGCATATTAATGGTACCAAAGTATTGATAAAATCTACCCAGCAGAGATATGATGAGAATGAGGGGAAACATAGAAAACATCCAACGGGGAGTCTAATACATAAAGACTCTCACTAAATGAGGAAATGACTACACTTTATATCCAATAAATGTTTGGTTAAGTTGAACTGTTTGGTGTTTTAAAGGATTCAGATATTTATGGCATGAGCTGGCCCTCAAGTGACATGTCAGATTAGTAAAAATAGATTAAAATACATGAAATATAAATGAAGAGAAGCAAAAGAACTGTGTTTTAGAAGAGCACATGACTGAAAATGACTTCATCGTTTATAATTTTTCTGACATTGAACAAGGCCACTAATATTTTTTAGCCTTTGGTGTCTTTTCCTATCAAGTAGAAATAAGAATAAAGGCAGCCTGCTTGCCTCTCAGAGTTGAACTAAAGTTATTCTAAAGTTAAAATGAGCTAAAGAGAATGAAGGAATTTTGCCAAATACAAAGAAATGATTAAGTCGGTGTTTATCAAGTAACACTAAAATACAACATACCCATCACAAACTGAGCTCACACTCAAAGGTGGCCAAACATGAAGGGCACACGGAGGTCAAAACGGTACATTAAGGCCACTGGTTTGAGGATGGAGTTTTAGTGGAAAGAATGAAGAGTGAGCCAAAGGGGACAAGTAGCTCTGCCTTCTCAGTGGGCTGATGACTGAGGTATCTACTGCTTTGAAAATACTGGGATAGGAGTGGGAGGGGACACCAGCTGGGCCCTAGAAGAAAAGGAATTCACAGCAAACCTGGGGCCCTCTCAGCCTAGGGGTTAAGAGAGAAATCAGAAGGGAGTCTCACGACTGTCAGGGCAGAGGCCTGAGACTAGACGGAGGTGTGTGGCAGCCACTCTGACGAGGAACACAGAGGAAACATTTGCTGGAGGAACCTCCATCATCCATTTCTCAAGAACCCTGCTCAAGAAAGGAGAAAGGATGGAGTTTGGGATCTCTGCTCTAACAAGTCAGACAAGCAGAACATAACATAAATGCAAAGAGAGTTCAGACAGGCAGGAAATCGATACAAACTGACACAGTCAAGCGGAGCTGAATGGAAAAGGTGGGCACCAAGCTAGACTTTAAAATACCTGCAGGATTTGGGTACACAGACAGAGATATCAGTAGAGGGGATAAACTTGCTTTGTTAATAGTATTATTTTAAAAGAACACATGTTAATTGCATGTATCATTTCTGTCAGAAATGATAAAACAATCCTATCACTTATAGGACAGCATATGCATTCAGCAAACTTTAAATTATTTCTAGAAATCAGGATTCCGTAAGCATTTCATAAGGCAAATGGATTTCAAGTATTGAACACACATGGCTATGACAAAATGGCAGACATGCATGCGATAAAGAATATAAGCCAGTCATTTTTTTGAACAAAATGCTGTTTGAGGCCTCACTTCTCCCAGGCAAATGAACAAATACATAAATGACTCTGATGTAATAACTTGTTTACATCCGTATTCCCCACTCAGCTATGCTCCTGCTCCTTCCAAAGCTGAAGCTGGGCTCCATTCATGTTAATATCTTTAGCTACATGCACTGTACCTAGGCTACAGGGGGACCTTCATAAATGCTGGTTAAGTAAATAATTTTACCAAGATCAACAACAAGAAAATATTTATAAGTTGTTGTTTACTTTTTCTTGTGAAATAAATAAATAACTCGGAGAGAGATGAATACATGTATCTTCACATCATTAAATATACCTTCCTCTGAGAGTACCAGCTGGGTCCCAGAGAATCTGTGAAGCTGCATTCAACCACGGCATATCTTTTTGGAAAGCCTATTTTCCATAAAAACTTTGGTGTTCGTGGTGTTTTTTAATATGTTAAATTAAACATGAATAAGTTTGTATCAAGTTTAAAAATAAAACACAAAGATGCTAACAAATTTCTGGTTTGCAGTGGAGGTTTCTCAGTCAGTCCACCAGAATCTCTAGGGTTTCCAGTTTCCTCTTCTTTACCCACAGGGATGTTTTGATAAAGACATTCAGAAGTGTATTGCTCACCTATACCATTTATAGCCCTAATTTTCAAACACAATAAATGCTTCTTATTTCACCTCTACTCATTCAGAATTTGCAATTACTGAAATTAGAGCTGAACAGAAGTTTAATTGTCTATTGTCCATATAGAATAGATTTCAAGAAAAGTAATAACATAAAAAAGGAAATCTCATTTTTAAAAATCTTCAGTCAAGTATCATTCACATCCAGTCACTTGCTAATTACAATTAGACATCTCTATCAAAGCCAGTGTTCTCTGCTAAAGGTGGTGTTCCAGGACCTCTGTTGAAAAACTTTGCCACTCCAGGGTTTCTCAGTTATTGTCTAAACCTAAAAGGGAATAAGATTCTTCAAAAATTATTATTGTCTTACCTTTCAGCAATATAAAATGTCCCTGCTCCTCCCAGGTCTCTGGATTAGGGAGGTTTTTCTGTGAGGCAAATAATAGAGCAATTCTATTCCTTAAATAGAGAGATGGTCACACTGGTGCTAATTAAATAAGCTGAGCATGTTTGCTTTGTGCACTTTTCAGTACATATTTTACAATTTAAAAGTTTGAAAAAATAATTTAATCATTAAGAGGGCAGCTTCAATTTAGAAGAATGAGGAAACAGACATAAGCAACCCAACAATTAAACTATCAGTTCCCTGTTCTAGGAGTGGTTCAAAGTTCAGAAATGAAGGCCTACTTGAGAGGCAGTAGAGGTAAGTGTCTTTTATTAGTGCAGAAATTCTCACTCTTAATTACTGAATTCCACTCAGTCATTAACCATACTATAGTGCAATGCTAACTACATAATGCTAGTAGATAGAGTGTCTCCTACATTGAGATACCAGTGTTTGCCAGTGTGTGTAACTAAAGCAAGCCTACAGCCACATCTCCAAAACCTGACATCGGCTCTTACATCTTCCACATTTTGTTTCAAATCTTTCTAGGGATAGTTCTTTCAAAATCCCTCTCATGTGCCCTTCTCAGTCACTATACTCAAATGCTTTTATGAGATAAGAAACTTAAGGAGTATGTGTCTGGGGATATTTTTAGGAAGAGATGGATTTTGTGCAGCTGATTATTAAGTCAAATAATGAATTAAGAATAATGACAACAATTGAAGTGAAAAATCTGCGTCATTACAGTAATCTTTCTCTCTTGAACAGAACTATTTGGCTTAAATCAAAGCCACCTGTAGGATTATGAATTTCAAACCACTAGGAGTGAGGCATATGAAGTTTCTAATTAGCACTGGCCAGGAAACATTAGTTCTCCCCTTTGCGGTATCTTACAGGTGGGGATAGAGTGATTGTATGTTCTCAGGAGAAATTTGCAGTTAAAATGGCCTAGTGGTTCAGAACTTGGACTCCAACAGAACTGAAATAATGACTGTACTATCAGAAAAATATAGGTGAGCAAGGAGTGTGGGGGGAGGGGACGGGGGGGAGCAGATCTTTCCAAAGAAAGATTGCTGCCAGTGAACTAATTGACTATTTAATGTGTTTATTTTACTTGACCATCTCCAGGAGTGATACAAAATAATTAAACAGCCTGTATGTATTTTGGTGATTTCCATATATCCTAAAGTACTCAATACAAAGACTGGCCTGGGCCAGAGCTGGCATGACTGCCCTCAGCTTCCAGTTCTAGTGCCATCTTATCCCTCCTAATCAATTTCCTCTGGGCAGAGATGTCCAACAACCACCACAGAAAGGCCTGGCTTAGAATCTTATTTTTATAAAACATAACAACTTCCCATTGACACACATTATTGAATAGAGATACTCTTCTGAAAAGGTTAGGGGTCTCTAAGAAGTAATACAAAGAACACTTTAAAATGTAGTAACTTACATATTTTTAAAATTAGGTATAAAAAGATGCAAAGAGCACTGGTCATTGTAGAAATCATTTCAGTTTAAAATTCAGGTCCTGCCACGCATTAGCTATGTGACTGAGCAATCTATGTTACTTTGTTGAGTTTCCTAGTGTCTTGGGGATGAACTGTGTCTCCCACAAAGGGTGACTTCTTCCCTACTGCTTCAGCACTCACATAGGCATCCTTACACACACACACTACCTTTGTGTTCTACTTCAACTGCTTTCAGTTAGTCTGTTCACAAACAACTTCCTTAAAAACTGATTTCCATCTTCAAATCAGAGTAAGCATCGTGTACACAAAGCCCTTCCTAAATCCCATTTCCTCCTCCCCAGCAGAGCTTAGTTGCTTCTCCTTTGTGTTCTAACAGTATTTGACTATAGCACTTGCCATGTATTGTAACTATGTGTTTAAGTGCCTAACTCCACCTCTAGACTGCAAGCTACTTGAAGTACATACAGTTTTTGAATGTTATTGGTATCTCTAGTTTTTTAACAGTATCAAAACTGACAGTAAGTTCTCAGTGTTACACAAAGGAGTTGATTAATAGCAGTGTTCATTTCTTGTATACTTACTATGTGCTAAGCACTTACATGCATTTTCTGTAATCCTGACATGAACTCTCTAAGGTGGACATTAGTATTTTAATTTTATAGAAGAGAAACCTGAGGCCCCAAAACAACAAATAAGTGATTAAAGTCAGGATTTGCCCAATCTCCAATCTGTTCACAAGGGATCTAGCACAACCACCTGGTACTTATTAGGTCCTCAAAAATGCCATCTTTTTTCCTACTGCCCAGAAAACAATGGGAATGTGACTTCTGCAATGGAAGTACCAGAAACTGTGTCCGTTGGTGCTGGCTAACACTATTACTTAGAAAATTTTGATACAAAAAGCTCATTTCACCAAGTCTGTGTCAGCAACCATAAACAGATTTTTCAATTGCACATTAATAATTCCCAAAAATATTTTCCGAGTGCCTGCTCTGTGCCAGTTCTGTACTGTACACTAAAGATCTATGAATAAAAAGTCAAGACCCCAGTCTCAAGAAGCAGACACCACGAGGTACCAACATTTGTAGAGCACTTGCTATGGAAACTTTAGAGCACCTGGGAGGACATAATCTTAATGGACAGATGTTACATGCCCATTAAACCCATCATTAGGGGATCTATGAATCATTTAACGGAACATAGAGTAGCCTGTTCTGTGCCATGTATGTGGCCACAGGAGATTCTTTTAGGAAGATAATGTCCTCCATTTGCCAATGTTTGTGTTAAAATTGAAGTGCAGCCAGCCCACAGGGGTACTCCTACCAGCATGTACTTAGGGGATTGATCAGGGTTTCCAATGAAATGGCAATATGGCAGCCACATAGTGAAGCAGAGAGCATCAAGACATAAAAGCCGTTCATTATTGAAACTTTACAACAAATTCCCTGACAACCTTTCCCTGGAGAAGCCCCTTGTTTCTGCCAACCCATTACATCTATTTTGAGGCTGGCAACCTGATGTGCCTCTGCACACAACCCCAAGAGGCACCCTTCATATACAATACAACATGATGCAAATACATCTTGATTGGTTCCTCTGGAGCTGTGTGACAAGGTGGTCCTGACTACCAAAGTAATTAAGGTTCTCATGCACCTTCAGTTGCCAAGCCATTATCAACACATTTGATTTTCAGGGAACATGTGAGGAGACCTCTGAGCCTTTGTGGCACGAATTTACCAAAGGGGAGCAAAGCCTAGTGAGTGAGGTGCCTCTTTCTGCCCAAAAGTGCAAGTGCATGATCAGCCATATGGAAGAGATCCCGGGTAATTACTCTCGGTACTTTCGTTTAGCTATTAAAATGCCACCCAACTGTCAAACCTTCACTCAGTGTTAATTACTGCCACACCGTGTTTGAATGCAGCACAAGTAGGACTGAAAGTAGAAAATAAATAATAACTATGCAAGGTTACAGCCTCTTTTTGTACCTCTGGTTGCAGTAACCACCTTCGATCTCTTTTTAAGGCCTTTCGTTCTCACCGTCATTCCCTCATGGACTGAGCAGTTGTTTACAAATTGCAAATGCCTATGAAAAGCCCCTATTTCACAGGGTCTCGCACACAGCCACTCAATTAATGGAACTAAATGCCTTGGTTAGGTTCACAGAAGCTGCTGAATAACTGCCATGCTGCACTTGGCATTTGCCTCCAGAGGAAGAACATGATGCTGGGTGATGTTGGTGATCTCACCTCTTGGTACATTAGCTTTCAGCTGAAAGTTCAAGGCCATCAAGCTGCTTCTCTGACTGGCAGAGAGGGTGCATATTAACCTCACACCTATCCTTCATGAGATAACTGTGCTGGCTTATTCTGCTCTTGGACTGGAGCTATATTTTATCCAGCAGTTCTTAACCTGTGCCCATGGATGTTGTGAACCTGCTAAAACTAGATACTATGCTTTGTGCATGTGTGATTTATAGGAAAGGGAGCCCAAACACTGATCATCTGAAAGGACTCTAATATCTAGAATCTTAGGTGACCTTTCAACGGTCCTTCAACACAAGCTGGGCAAGTGTATATTCACCTCCATTTCATAACAGAATAAACAAATGCTGAGCTGTGACTTGCCTGAGTGATCTGAGAATAAGTTGAGGCACTTTTCCAGTACTAATTAACATCTTCCCAGAGGATGCATCTACCATTTGTAATATGTGAGATGCATTTATCTCACATAAATCACCTTCGCTGGGATGATTTGTCTTTCATCTAGACTGTAAGCCCAAAAGACAAAAACTATTTTTGTCTGTCTTATCATCTCCATGTGTGTGTGTAATAGAGGAACAGTGTTTGTACCGAAGGGGATCAATGTTTGTCAGTCTAAAACATGCCATGATGGCATAAGAATTATTTTGAGCTAAAGGCAACTGACAAACATCAGATGTATATAAAGCTGTCTACTCCCCTTGTATCTGCCTAAAGTCAGGGCATAAATTTTCCTCAGTGAAGATGTTCTCTCTTTCCTCTCCCATACCAGGAAGAGGAGGCAACTCTTATTGCTGAAGATGGCACTGACTTCAATCTGCATAAACAAAATTGACTGTAATAAATCTTATCTTTCATTAGTTTTCCCCATATACTTATCTTCACATAAATAAGTACCCCTAGAAGTCCAAAACCCCTTTCTTTTCTCTTGTCATATTGCCACAATTTATTGTTCTTTGTTAAGATGGTATATATAAGCCCCCAATTCTAACCACTTCCTTAAGTTATATTTCTTTGTGAACTTCCATGCATATGTATGTAATTAAATCTGTTCTTTTCTCTTGTTAATCTGTCTTTTTTCAGTTAACTTGTAGGCCCCCAGTACTGAATCTAAAATAGTGGATGAAAAAGTCTTACCCTTTCCTATAGTATATAACAATAACTGTGATCAGTGAACAGATGCAAACCAACCTTCAGTTTCCAAAAATATTTATTTCTGTTTTCTGTCACAAGACACCTGTAGGACAATTTTTTTTGATGACCATAAGATGTAAAGGACAATGCTTAGAAAAACCTAGACACCAAGAAAAACCTGCTAATGTCTGCAAGAAAAGAACTTCATAATCCAGAAGTTCCCAAAACTCTATAATTGCTGAAGAATAACTAGAATTTTAACAAATTGCTCAAAATCTCCTTTCAAGTCCTCACAAAATCAGCTAATTCATTAAAAAGAAATTACATTATATGCCCCATTACATTTCATAGGACACTGGAGATGGACACAGGCACTCAGGAAATACTGGGAAATAGGGACAGTGATACAAATGACAATAAGATAAAACAATAAGGATCCAGAGAATGGCATTTGAAACTTGAAAACTGTATATTGAAAAGGGTGATTCCAGAAATTTAATCTGGTCACAATGTCTAAACTGGTGGCTATGAGAAAGGGGAGGAGAGGGATGGAGTCAGCAAGACCAGATAAAGGCAGAATGACATAATTAATGTGTAGCACTTTCAGCATATGAAAACAGCACTTCCTTCATCTTCCCAAAGACCATCAGCGTTGATCATATTTTATTATTAAGAAAATACAGGCTGGGCACAGTGGCTCGGCCTGAAGTCCCAGCACTTTGGGAGGCCAAAGTGGGTGGATCACTTGAGGTCAGGAGTTCGTGACCAGCCTGGCCAACATGGCAAAACCCTGACTCAACTAAAAATACAATAATCAGCAGGGTGTGGTGGGGGATGCCTGTAATCCCAGCTACTCAGGAGGCTGAGCAGGAGAATCACTTGAACCCAGAAGGTGGAGGCTGCAGTGAGCCGAGATCGTGCCATTGCACTCCAGCCTGGGTGACAGAACGAGATTCTGTCTCAAAAAAAAAAAAAAAAAGAAAAGAAAGAAAGAAAATACAGTTATCATACTGTATTCAGTGTATTCAATGCATACTTTGTCTCATCAGTGAGGAAATTTTCAACTATTTTCTGGGCAAAAAGAGTAATAATCCTTGGTAGTAATAACCATTTATCTGAAAGAAAGCACTTCCACAAGCTTTCTGTCACATTTTAAAATAAAAAAAAAATGAGCCTTCTCCCTTTACAATGCAGGCATTTCTAGGAACCACTGTAAAAGGGCCCACTTTTTCAGTATGTCTAAGAGCAGACAGCACTTTCCACCACCTGCCTTGCCCACTCTCTCCTAGCTCAGTGCACTTTCTCAGGTTGCACAAGTACGAACACATGGAGAATGCAAAGAATCTATCTAAGTTTGGCAGTGCTTGCTGCATTCTGCCTGTAGAAGTGCCCCCAAATGGTGCAAGCTGAAGCAAAACAGCCGCAGAAGCAAAATACAATCTCGCGGTCAGTGCAGACCCAGCTGCCCTTGTCTCTTAGACATTCCTGGCTGGAATCCCACTGAGCAAATATAGGGGGAAAACAGACAAGAAAGGCCCTAGATTCAGGAAATACCCAGCTGCTGCAGGAGAGAGCAGCTTACAAACAGCAATTTCCCTTTAAAAGTGCCCCCAAGGGCAGATCTCTAAATTATCCCTCGATATTTCTTTTCAATCATGCCATGACCCTACCACTGGTTTTTAAACTCCTCCTCTTGAACCATATGATGGACCTACAAGCAGCCAGTAGGTTCTCAAACACAGCTTTCACTATTAGGCCTGAAATCCAAAGGGAATAACGTTACCCTCTCATAGCATAGTTTCCTCATTCAGCCATTTCTCAAACCTTTTTTCTCCAAAATTCTTGCTATCAAGAGTGACTGTTAATACCAACAGAAGGACAAGCCTTCAAGGAACACAGTAACTGATCTCTTTCGTAATTTTCATTTGTCAAACTAAGGGAAGCTATACAACTTAGAAATCAAATGTCATGTTCATTTATCAGGTATTTATTCTATTCCAAATCTACACAGGACACGGACAGAAAAGATTCATGCATTCTTTTGACCGATATTTATTAAGTACTTACTGCAATTCATCAAGTCTAAAATACATATTTTTTCACATTTTGACATTTCTGGAATTGGGATGCATCTGAAAATTAAGATTCTGGTTTTCTTCTTTTAGTATATAAAATAATATAGCATCTTACAATCAATTGCACATGCCATGGACGAAATGCTTAAAACTTCTCAAATGAGTACAGCCATCTTTTCCCTTGAACTTGTCCTCCTCTTTCAAATGCATCCTCAGAGGCTGGTACCAGAGTAATTTTTATCTGGGGCAAATCTTGTCCTGTGACCCTTCCCCCTGTTTGAACCAGCCAATGAATTCCCTTTACCTATGGGTAAGCATGGAGTCAGAGGTCCTTCATGACATGTCCCAGACCAACACTGGCAGCTCATCTCCCCTTGTCTCCTGCCAAATTATAAATTTTCCTCAATATACCAATTTCTCTGAACTCAATATAACTTTTAGAATTCTGCTCAAGTATTGACTACCTGAAAACTTTCTCTGACACTTCTATCCCCAAGGTTGAAGTAAATGTCAATCTTTTGAGGTCCCACAGCCTCCTATGCTTTATTATATTATTACCACACTCTAATTTGGGGCTCTTGATCTATGTCCCCCAAAAGACCAAGATCTCCACAAAGGGAAAGGTTGTGCCTTGCACATTTCTGATGAAAAACCCCAGGGACACTGCCTGGCATGGAGTTGAAGATCAAAACATAATTGAAAGGATGGATGAACAAACCTTATGACATCTCATCCTCAGTTCATAAGACACCTAGCTTTTAGAGATCATCAGCAACCAAACAGGATTTCAATTCTTGTTACTCTTGGGTTTTGTCTAAAAAACAAATGGGAATTCAAGAAAAATTGTTTCTTAGTTTCTTTCCATTCTATAATTTTGTTATTTGTGCTCCACTGAAAATTACCTGCTATTCTATCCATCTGGCATTGATCAAATACTGCCTTTGCCTATGAAGCACCTTTTTAAAAATGGATTCTCAGATTGGCAAAACAGTCTCGCACCTAAGATTCTTGAGCTGTGTGTGTGTTGCAGGGGGAGGAGAGAACATGTCTAAAACTCCGGGGAAATACGTCATTTGAGAGCACATATTTGGTTTAATTTTATACCTAGAAAACAAATGCTCTCTGCATTATAAACTAAACAATATACGGCTTGATAAGGTGATCTTGGCTGATGGAGAAAGAAAAAACGATTGAGATTCTCAACTGGGGAAAAGACATGATATTTTTATGAAGTTTATCAAAGGGAGATATGAGTTTTAGAAGTTCAGGAAAAACTGGCACAGTAAAAGCTAATATGGCATAATCGTTAACAGCAGATTCTGGCAGTAGACAGACACGGGGTGAAATTCCGGATCTATCCCTCGCTAACTGGCTCTTTGATTCTGAACAATTTACTTAATCTCTCCAAGCCTTCCTTTTGTCATCAGTAAAACAGGGATTATCAGGCACACCTCATAGGGTCATTATAGGACTCAAATCAAAGATTGCATATAAAGCTCCTCTAACCGTGCTTGGCACTTAACAGGCCCCTCAAAAATGGTCGCAATTATTACAACTATTAATAACATCTCTTCTCCAGTTAAATACAGAGCCTACATTATATGTCCCATTACATTGCATAGGACACTGGAAATGGACACAGGCACTCAAGAAGTACTAGGAAATAGGCATGGTGATGACAAATGACAATAAGATAAAACAGTAAGTATCCATAGAAAGACATTTGATATTTGAAAACTGTATATTGAAAAGATATCTTTTCTACGATTAACCAGGTTTTTTAGATTACAGTTATTTTTAACTTATGAAATACAGATACCATGAGCATTTGTGACATATGCGTGCAGTTCAAATAATAATAAATTGAACGGAGTGAACATCCGTGTACCCACCACCCTGCTTAGGAAACTTAGGAAACAGAACGTTACCACTTGGAAATCATCTGACTGTCTTTCCCTGATGTACCCTCCTCTCATAGCCCAGGGTAATGTCTTGAATTTTATGTTTCTCGTGTTTTTCACTCCTTGCTTTTTAAAAAACAGGTTTATTAAGATATAATTCATAAACCATACAATCATCCAATCAAAGTTTACAAGTCAATGGTTTTTAGTGTATTCTCAGATATGTGCAACCATCACCACCATAAATTTTAGGACATTTCATCGCCTCAAAAAGAAACCCCATACCCTGTAGCTACCACTCCTCAGACCCCTCATCCTCCCACCCACTGCCCCCCCAACCCTAAGCAATCAGTCATCTACTTTCTCTACGGAGTTCTCTGTCCTGGACATTCCATAAGAATGAAATCATACAATATGTGACCTTTTGTGACTGGCCTCTTTCACTTAGCATAATGTTTTGTAAGTTCATTCACATAGTAGCATATATCATTACTTCATTCCTTTTTATGGCCAAGCAACATGCCATTGTTTGGAGACACCAAACTTTATTCCTCCATTCATCAGTTGATGGACATTGTATTGTTTCTGTCTTTAGGCTATTACAAATAACGCTGCTATGAACATTTGTGCACAACTTTTTGTATAGACATATTTTCATTTCAGTTGGGTACACAATACGTAGGAGTAGAATTGCCTGGTTATATGGCAATTGTTTAACCTTTTGAGAAGCTGAACTCACCAGCTTTTATACTGATCTCCAGGTGGCAGAAAGCTAAAAGTATGTCAGTGACTTATGGTGCTAAACCAACCTATTCAGCCAACAGCAGGCCCTCAATGCCAGTGAAAACTCTTCATAAGTAGTTACACATCAATTATTCATAGGTGTGCAAATCCTATCTTCTAAGAATTGAAATTTTCTAGCAGTTAAAGAAAGCCAGTAGCAAGAAGAGAAGACTTAGTAGAAACAAGGCTCTTCCACTTCCTAGCCATTCTCAGTTGATTCTTTTGACTCTCAGACTACCATTTTTAAGGTATTTTTCATGTTGATTCAGTCTACTGTGTCTGTGTTGACAACTTCAATGATGAAACCACTAAAGATGGAATATAAAAATGGACTCATATTGAAGACCTACAGAAATATCAATGCATTAGGTACAGACAATTTTTTCAGACCAATGACTTCCAGCAAGTATGTTTATAAAAATTAAATCTACTTCTCACCAAGAGTCTGAATTGCCAGAAATACACTGGCATGAAGAGAAAGCAGGCAAGGGGTAGAAGGAAAGAGATTAAGGAGCAGAAGCTTCATCTGAAAGCCTCTGAAATGTGGCATCTGGAAAATCTATTCACACCCTCACAAATCACTTTTGGTCTGATGTGCCAGTCTCTAAAGCCTTTGATACAAGAGTGCGAAGGGCATCTGTCTCTGATTTTCCTACTCAACACTTGTCTTGTTTTCTACAGTCTGCTACACTCCCCTTTTGTTAGCCACAGACAGATTGATGGACAGAGTGAGGTGACGGACCAAGGAGTACATTATTCACCTTTACATTAGCTATGTTGGGGGGTTAAAAAGTTGGCCAACACAGTAACGCCTCTGAATTTTAACACAGTATTTCTGAATGTCTTTGACTCAAGTAAACTATTGCTCAGAGAGATGTAGACTAGGAGGACCTAGGAAGCAGAAATTCTCAGTATCCTATCGTGACTGGAATGAAAACATGCTGACTGCCCAGCTACCCATGTGAACTCCACATTCCCCTCATCTTGAAGTGAAATTAGTTAAGAACAGAGAGAAAATAAAACACCTCTTTGTATTGACAATCGAACTTACAAAATGACAACTTACCAAAAAAATTTACATTTGAAATATAGAGATATCACTGTAATATGTTTATATCTTAAAGAAAATGCATACACATATACAGAGGCTTGTATATTATAATTTCCTAAAACCCAAACACATTCAGGCAATCCAAATACATTAGATATTAGTATGTAGAGTTTATCAATGAAACTATTTCTATAATACAACATACACGCTTTTTTTCTTTTATGCTTATTTCTGTGGTCTAGATTTACAACACTTACCAAAATAAACAAACTAAAACCAAATAATAAAAGAAACTGCTGTCTAATATCCCTTGGGGAATCTCAACATTTTTATCTTATTCTTAACCACACTGCTGGAGAATTCTTAGACCTTAGATATGAAGTGATATTTAATGAATAAGAAATGCTGGAGAAAGAAAATACAACAGGCTGGTGATATGCATACTTTTAATTTATGTTGGCCAAAACACAATTTTCCCATTTACTGATTCTTTTCACACCAGTCACAGTAAATAGCACAGACTTTTGTAGATACCAAAATAACTGATGTTTTACTATTAGCACTTTTCAAATCATTCCTCCTTAGACTGTCACCTTTTTCCAGCTCAAAACAGACTTCACAACTGCAAGTTTCCACTGTGTAGTTCCAACATTGCAATATTTTCCCCAAAGAGGTGTGAAACAGGTCAGTATACAGAGCTAATAGCATCACATTTTTATTTAGGGGGAAAAATACATGTTACGAAATTGTTGGGATAGCGTAAAAGAACACCAGCTTCTGTGTTTTTAAGCAACTTGGGAATCCATATCTTCTATTTAGTACCTGCACAGTAGTGTTTCACAGAGAGATTGGCTATCTCTAAACAGCTGACAAAGGAATCCAAACTCCTCTTGGTATGGCCCACACAGCCCTTCACAATTTGTACCCAGTCCAACTTTCCAGCTCAGCTCCCATTGTCCTTCTACTATGTACCAAATCAGTGTTACCTAAACTTTTTCATAAGGCACACTGAGGTAAATGAACAACTGGGCTCAAGCCCCAGGAATGAAAGGATAACTGTCTATGCAGCCCCATCACCTGGTATGTCACTGAGGTAGGGGCATTCTACCTACATTCTACCTATGGGAGTGTATTCATGGTTCCTTTGACGTGTCATGTAACCATCGCAAGTCTGCAGTTTTGCACACACTATTCCCTTTCCCTGGAACATTTTTCCCCTCCGTACGAAAGAAATAATTCTTATTTTTCAAGACTCAGCTCAGACTTCACCTCTGCAGCACAGGTGTTCTTGCCCTCTGCTGCCTCCTTAGCCCCAAGAATCAGAGGCTCTCCTCTCTGTGCTCCCAGGGGACTTCTCACCCACAGTAGGTCACTTCTCTGTCTTCTACACTGCAAGTGAGCCCCTTGAGAGCTTACTTACTTTTCTAACTTCAGAGGTAAGCACAATGTCTGACAAATTGTAGGTGCTCCATTGCTGTTCTTTGAAATAATTCAGAATTTCTCCAAAGCATGCAGAGAATAGAGAAAATTCAAAACCAGTCTCTATCAAATAGGGAATTATTCTGAAGCATATGTGCTCAATTTCACCTGTGGCAGGACTTGCCATTTATGGATTCCTGGAGAAATGCTTTGATGCCTCCTTCTGAAATTCAACATGCAGTCTAAAAGAGCTCAAGTAGATGCAAACAGGAGCAGGCAAATTCCCTTGGACCCTGAGCCTCCCTCCCTCCCAGAGGCAGGTTTAGCTGGAGGCCAAACAATCACAAGAGTGCTGGTCCCACCCAGAAATCCAACAATATTCAGCATCTAAAAACATGTCCTAAAGAAATCACCAGCAATGCACAAGCAATTCTGCTCAAGGTTATTAAATGTAGCATTATTTATAAGAGTACAAATAGGAAACAGCCTAAATGTTAAACAACAGAGACCTAGTTAAATAAATTATGACTATCTCAATGCTAGAGAATAGTAGGCAACCGATAAAAAAATTATGTTGATAAGAATTTTTTATGGCAATAAATATTATTACCAAAAAACAAAAAAGGAATAAACAACACTATATACAGTTTGATCCAAATTTTACTTATAAAAACATATATATGTGTGCTTGCAAAAGTAAGAAGACTGGAAGAAAATATACGTGTTTAGTGGCATGTATATCTGAGTGACATTATAGTGATAAAAAATTTATTTTATTCTCCATTCTCTTTCAGTATTTTCCAAGTTTTCTGTAGCAAGTATGCTTTACTTTTGTATGGAAAAATCAGGAGGTGGGGAAGTAATAAAAATCAAAGCAGAAAGGAGTAAAAAGTTATTATTGCCGAGCTGTTCTACTCTGGGCTGCATACAGCTGTCCACCAATGTTCTGGGAAGCTGGCCCATTGTCAGGATCACAGGACACAGCAGGAGTAAGGCTCTCACAGGAATATACACCCTGGGTGCCCCAGATCTGCCCTAGACTCAGAGTGGACCCGGGACCTGATGGGTTTTCTTAAATTGGTAGAAACCATACTCTGGGCCCACAGTTCCCTTGCCATCTAGGACAAAAATCTAAGACCTAAATCTAGTTTTCTGAATTTGATTTGCAAGAGTTTCAAGAAATCATGCCAAATTTCCCCTGGTGTTCTCATTTTCCTCATAGAAAATGCTAGATTCAGGCCAGGCACGGTAGGTCACACCTGTAATCCCAACACTTTGGGAGGCCAAGGCGAGAGGATTGCTTAAGCCCAGGAGTTTGAGACCAGCCGAGGCAGCATAGTGAGACCTCATCTCTACAAAAAATTTTACAAAAAATTGGCTGAGCATGGTAGTGCATTCCTGTAGTCCCAGATACTTGGGAGGCTAAGATTGAAGGATCATTTGGGCCCAGGAGGTCAAGGCTGCAGTGAGCCATATTGCACCACTGCACTCCAGCCTGGGCAACAGAGTGAGACCCTCCTATCTCACAATAAATAAATAAATAAATAAATAAAGTGCTAGATCCAGACCCCAGCCAGAAAGACATTTCCTCCCCAAGAATATTCTTCCACATCCTCCTTTTTGTAAATACAGTTCCATATTATTCTTAATGTTGCTGAAAAATATTTTTTGGAAACACTTAACACATGAAAGAAATTAAGCAGGACAACTAGGAGTGGATGGTGTCACAAAGACAAGGAAAGAGTCTCCTAAGCACCATATGCCCCCAAAGATACCAAGATGAGACAGATCCCAAAAGCGTCCTTCGGATTTGGCTTCTACTGGTGCTGATGATCTCTACCAGATTCAGGGAGGACTGAAGTCAGAATAACAAAGTGGTGTGTATACCTGAGTGATGTTATAATCTTTCTTTAAGGGGTTTGCCTGGGAATAGCAGGAGAATCAGGCCAGTGCTCACAGGGTTGAGACAAACACATATCTAGTTGGAAGCTAGTGAAGAATACAGGGAAAAGGGGGTCAATGAAAACTGAGGAGAGACAGGAATAATGAGAGCAGATCTAGTCCTGAAGAAAACAAAAAAAGAAGAAGCTGGGAACCAGAGCTCCATATTTCCTTCTCTCCTGAATTTTCATTTAGGAGAGGTGAGGGATCACCCTTGAATGAAAGAGGTACTTTGTCTTCTGGAACCTGACCCAGTGATTCTTAACCAGGGAGCCCATCAGAATCTCCTGTGGCAATTTTACAGCCAACACAGGCTTGGGCTCCTCCTCCTCCTCACCTCACCAGCAGACCTACTGAACGGTCCTCTTCAGGACGAGGACTAGGCTGAGTTATTTCTAAAAGCTCCCAGGTAATTAAGATGCACAATGCTGTCTAACGATCACTGGTTAGAAAGGAGGAAAGGGTGATGATGGTAGGAAATAGCTTCATAGGTGTAAGAGCAGGAAACTGAGGAAGGAGAGGGTTCAGGGTTCTCTCAACTAGGAGGTAAGGTCAAGAAGTAGAGGGCTTAGGGAGCAGTGAAGTCTTAAAATAGTCTCTGTGCACTGCTCAGAACAAGGCATGTGGGGGCAGGAGGAGGGGCAACACTTTATCAAATGTCTAGGAGCATCAAGGTACATCGTGGAGTGATTTTTCCCAGGAGGGTTCAGAAATGTAGAAAGCAAGTGAGAAGCAGATGGTCAGATTAATCTATATGTGGGAGTTTCAGGGGGATTTGGCATGAAAGAGCAAGGAAGTAATTTAATATCAACCTCATAGGGCTGTTGGAAGAATTAAATAATGCATTTAAACACAGTCCAGTGCCTGACACAAAATGAGAGCTCAATAAATGTTAGCTGTTATTGTCATTGCTACAACCACTGTTGTTATTTATTTCTGGAACCAAGCAAAGTGATCACGTCTGTTTCTTAGGAATCTATCAAATAGAAGTCAGCAGTTGCTTCTCAATTAACAGAGGAAAAATTCGAAAGCTATGTGGGGTGTTAAACCCCTCAAACAAGAAATGCTAATAATCATATATTTCTGTAGGCTTCCATTAACTTAGTTTTGAATAGCTAGTTGTTGAGCATTCTTGCAATAATGACTAACGATAACTGGTACCACTTTTACTATAAATACAGCAGCACAAAAGACTTAAGAAATTGAATGGAAAATAATGCTCTCTTTAGAAAGCCCATGTGAGGCTGTTTAAGGTAAGACATTCTGAACCTTTATTCCATTACTGCTGCCTCCATCCATTCAAAAAGGATTTGTGGAAGTTGGCAAAGATGCATACAAAACAAAATTAAGAAAAGAAAGTAAGGCAACCAGTCTAAAGAGAAGTAAAGGGTAAGGAAAAATGTATTCGGTGTCCAATGCACAGGCAAAGAGGTCCCTTTCACAATGCTAGTTGTGGGTCTCGAATTTGGCTGTGAACCACCTGGCAGTGGACTAAAGAGGGAAACAGGAACAGTACTCACAGTTTCCAAAACCAAGGGAAATACTGCTATTATTGTTAATAAAGTGTGAAAATTTTTTCCTTCATAGATTGACCGTGATATAGTGAACAATGTCTATAATATCCTTACATCAAGGTTTAATCACCTGACTAAAAGATACCCTTCCTCCAGCTTCAAAAAAACATCCTTAACTTCTGGTAGAAGAGACATGGTACCAGAATCAAAGGTTAGCTCTCCAAAATTTAGGAATTTTTTCTATGTTATTTATTAGTCCTTATGTTCCATCAAAGACAGAATCATTTTGAAGCATATCCAGCTCAAATAAATTAATGTTCCCATTTTTTGGAGGAAATAAGTTTACATACTTAAATATGACCTGCATAATCACTCATCTAACAGTAAAGTATATTTTTCAACCCAGAATTATTTTGCCCAGCCAAAGTATTTTTAAAAATTGTAGGAACACCATAAAGACATGCTCAGATATGCACTGTCTAAAAGTTTTCCTTCCTTTCTCTGAAAGCTACTGAAAAATGTGCTCCATGAAAATAAGGGAGTAAACAAAGAAAGAGGATCCAGGAAATGGGAGCTAGCACAAAAAGGGAAAAGGATGACGGTGAAAGGAAATCCCAGTATGGCAGGCCTAGGGCACAGATAGTCCAGCCTGGGGCTGGTCAGAGGCTCCAGAAGAAATGGCCCCAACAAGATGAAACAGATGAATAGCTGCTGTGGCTAAATACGTTAAAGAGAACAGCCCACACCTGGGGAAGAGTGTAGAACTACACTAGTGATGAGTACGCTGAAAACCAAGCAAACAAGAGCTTTTGTCTTAGAAAAGGGGGTGAATGGCCGGGCACGGTGGCTCACGCCTGTAATCCCAGCACTTTGGGAGACGAAGGCAGGCAGATTACCTGAGATCAGAAGTTCGAGATCAGCCTGGCTAACATGGTGAAACCCCGTCTCTACTAAATATACAAAATTAGTTGGGCGTGGTGGCACACGCCTGTAATCCCAGCTACTCCAGAGGCTGAGGCAGGAGAATCTCTTAAACCCGGGAAGCAGAGGTTGCAGTGAGCCGGGATCGTGCCACTGCACTCCAACCTGGGCGACAGTGAGACTCCGTATCAAAAAAAAAAAAAAAAAAAAAAGAAAAGAAAAGGGGGTGAATAGAAATAGATCCATTTGCTTGCACAAGGAAACAATGGAAGCATAAGAAACTAATAAAGACAGCAACTTACAGGAGATGGAGAATAATGGAGACAGTAGAACTAGAATAGAGTGAGGTTTTTTAAAGTACACTTTCTATGTTGTTTTAATTTCTAAACCATGTGAAAGTACTACCTGTTCAAAATCAAATAAAAATAAAGTTCTAAGATTGTTTTCTGCTAACAGTGTCCAGAGGCTTTACTTGTTCTTTTGACAGCATCAACTGCTGACCCACACTTGGCTTTCTGTATTGCACACATCTATAGAGAATTAGAGGCAAAGAGGTCACAGGATATGGCTACAGCCTTGAAAATAAAATCAGTGAAGATAAGAGAAGTGGGAGAAGCATCTTCAATTTATCAAAGCATGAAGTACAGCCACTTGTTTTCTAGAAAAAATAGTACTGGCTATGTACCTACAGTATAACCCATATAAGTGTATAGAAATCAGATGTATTAACAAGTTGTTTTTAATGGGGGCTCTATGAGAATTTTGACCATGCAGTTCTTCCTCAAATTCCCCTGTGCGTTTTGAGGAGTAAGGATCCCTAGCCACTGTCCACCAAATGTCAGTGTGACTCCTCAGTCACTGAGGCAATAAAAAATGTTCCCTCCTCCACATTTCCAGAAGCTCATACTCCCAACTGAGAACCACTGTGAGGAATAAGTAAAAAAATTAAAAATTAACATTTGTCAATTTTTTTCCCTATCACTGCCACTAATTTTTATCAGTTCATTAATTTAATGAATCTTTATAACACATTCATTAAGAAATCATGAACAATCTGATCTTCCAAATGCTTGGGTGTTACTAAAGATAGTTTGTGCCTTGAGTTTGTTTTTTTTTTTAACCGAGCTAGAGAAAATCTGAGGAATCTAGAATCCCTGCCAGCCTTCAGTCAAAGTCCTGCTTCACAACTGCAGAGTATGCAGTTTAATTTTTTTTAAGTTCTTATATATTCTCTCATTGACAAAGGCTAATTACTTCTCTTAAGAGTCATGTAAGCTCAGCAAGGAAAATACTATTTTCCCCATTTTCACAGATAGGGAGTCTAAAGGTCAGAGCAGTGAAGTGATTTTTCCAAGCTCATAATTGACAGAACTTGGAGCAGAAACCAGAACTTCTGGTTGTCAGTCTGGCGGTTTCTCCACTCAGCTGTGATGTTTACTCTAGACAGTATTTTCTCTATGCCAAGCCTATAACACATCAGCTTGATTCAAATCTTTAACACGATGATTATAAATTTGAAACCCAGCATCTTATTTTTAAACTGACAGGTCAACTATAATGGTCCTCAAAATGGTACACTTTGAAAATCAATAAAGGTGACTGAGGGTTTTACACAGGTTAGCTTGTGTGGTCTTCCCAATAGTTCTTCTAGGTAGATACAATCATTATCCATTTTACAGATGAGGAAATGTAGGCAGAGAAAGGGGTAAGCAATGTGTTACTTAAGGCCACACACTAGTAAGTAACAGTGTGGATTTGAACGCAAGCAGTCAAACTCAAGTCGGGGAAAACTCCCAGTAGATTTAACTAAGAAATAAACCCCCCAGAAAAACTGGCAGGTGGATTGTTTAGATAAACAATGAAATGTCTCTTTAGCTCTGTAAAGAAAACCAGCAACCCCTATGTAAGTTTTTGATCAACTGGTAAAAATGACCTCAAAATATAGAAACAAGCAAGTAACTGTCCCTCTATCAAACTAAATAATATTTTAATTGCCTAAGTAGTGGGCATTTAATAAATCATCAATTTTCTATTCTATTAATAATATTTCTGTGGAAACAAGACAACTCTCAATCACCAAATCTGGTAAAAAAAAAAAAATCACAACAAAAATCATACAGAGGCAACACACCGAGTTAAACAACAGCCTGGAGAAAATAGATTCATTTTATTCAACTTCAAAAGTGATAAGAAGTTGACTCCAATTATTCTATTCCACATAGGAGGTTATGATGCTTATGACCAATAGCCAATGCATAAGACTGATAATTTTCTAGTCTAAAATTTCTACAGAGCATCCCAAAATTCTATTTTCAACCAAGTTTAATCTCCAGAAGTAAGAGTATGATATCTTGGTAAGAAACACTATTTAATATAAAAATTCATAGTCATGAAATAATTTAGTAAGACACCAAAAGGGTCACAGTCTTACCTCAAAAACCATGTGCATACTGAAAAGTAGCCAGGTTGAGGGCAAGTAAGAACTTAGGGAAAAGCCTGAACTATCAAAGAAATCATCTGTCTAAGTCCCCAGAAGAATCAACCTCTACAGAGGTAAAAATGGAAAGGGCGGGAGGAGATACAGCTATAAGTAAAACTCCATGTGGCCTATATTCTATGATAATGTATGATCAATGGTACAATATAGGTAGGTAAGCATATATGGATCTATAACACCAGAAAAACAAACACATGTTGAGTTAATAATTAGATATCTAATGATCAAAGAAGAGCTAGAAGTGAAAAAAAAAACCAGAGCACCTACTTACCATGGGTTCAGTGGTGGTCCCTGTTGCCAGCACACATTCCGTAATCTCGGAATCCTGTGGCTAGTCCACTCTACTGCCTCCCTAGATGATGGAACTCTGATGCCATGGCACATTGCAGGAGCTACCTAGTCATATCAACAGAGTTACAGACTCAGGAATTGAGAAGAACCCAGAGCTCGGAGGCCATGCAGCAGGGCACCCTCCATATTGAGAGCAAACACCATTTGGGGTTTGGGGTTTATTTATTTATTTTTTTTTAAGACAGGGCCTCACACTGTCACCCAGACTGGAGTACAGTGGCACAATTATAGCTTACTGTAACCGTGAGCTCCCAGGCTCAAGCCATCCTCCTGCCTCAGCCTCCTGAGTAGCCAGGACTACAGGCATGCACTACCACACCAGTTATTATTATCTCTTATTTTTCTGGTAGAGACAGGATCTCACTGTTGCCCAGGCTGGACGTGAAGTCCTGGCCTCAGGTGATCTTCCCACCTGGGCCTCCCAAGTTGCTGGGATTACAGGCGTGAGCCACCTCACCCACCCAGCAAACACAGTTTTGAAAGACTTTCTAGTAAAGAGCCCAAGAATTAACTGCCCAGAGAAAGAGGATGTGTCCCCATCTTACAGATGGCCAGTAGAGGCACCCAGAAGTGTGATATTCCTGAAATCACTGATTCAGTACTGAACATCTAAGATAACACAGCGATTTGCTGACAAAGATCACAGTAGACTCTGTGAGACTGTACCTTGAAGAAAGAAGGGAAGAATAGGGGCAGAGAAGGCCCCTCAGGCCTGCCTGGGGAAGTGGGGGAATGGGAGTGAGGAGAGGCAGAGGGGACAGGAAGAAGCCCCTCCAGCAGTAATCAGGGGAGAGAATGGTCAAGAGGAGCTTGAAGGACACTGAGAGCTGGGGACTGGGGTCCGGTGGTTCTCCACTGGTATGTGGGTGAAAGTGGAGAAGGAAAAGTCGAAGGAGCTGATGAGCTAAAGAAATGGCGGAAGGAAGTAGAAGAGAACTGGGGAGGCCTTCTGACAGAGGTCAGTGCTGGAAAAGGGGAAGGTGGGCACAAGAGATGATGACAATCTTGGTAGAAACATCATACAGAAAATGCAAACATCCATCTAGATGACCTTCAGTGATGGTAAGATTCTATTAACCTTCCAGAGTTATCCGCTCCAAATTTAGAAACGTTTTATTTGTAAAATAGAAATTGCCTTGTTGCTTTGGTCCATTTCTTCTCATTTTAATTGGAATGGGGTTGGAGGACAGTTGGTTACCACTATTAAAATGATGTGTTTTCACTGGGCTCATAGCTCTTTAAACAGACTGAGGGATAAATACTCTCCCAGCCCCTGTTCTAAGTTGGCAGACAGACAGGAGGGGCCACTAAGACAACACCTACCCTCTGCAAATCAGCACCAGACAAACACTTTAGTTGGACAGCAGAAATTATATCTCCATTTTCCAGAGGAACAGAAACATCTAAAAGTTTAAATTTAATCTAACAAGTATTTTGAAGTTCTTGCTACATGCAAGGCCACCCTAAGTTTATTTGTGACACGACAGCATCTTCCACTATGAATGAAACACACACAAGAATCTCAGAGTTTCAACAGGCGCCCATCTATCTCATCAGGCTCATTCAAGAATCAGAAGTATCATTTAACAGTCCAGAAAAAAAGACATTCAGGTGCCTCGTGGCTGCTTCCCGTCTTCAATCCCTTCAGCAATCATGGTTCTGAGTCAGCTTTCATAACCCACAATGACACATCTATCTGAGGCACACATTCTGAGATAATAATGTCCATAAATGGCTGAAGATAAAAGAAAAAAATCATAAGACAGTATAATGGGAATCATAAGACAGTATAATGGGACTCATAACAAGATATAATTTCCATAAAAAACCATTTTGGTGGCAGCTTCTTCTAAAAAAGGTGATGAAAGTAAATATAACATCTCTCACATAATGTTTATGTTCTGTACCTTGTATAGATTCTATGTCTTTATTAAATAAATGAAAAGAAAAAAAGTCCACATAGACAAATAAAATACCACATTAGGGCTTTTTTTTCCCCCGCTCAATCTGGAAAATTTTGCAAAAAAGGATCTTTTATTTATGGAAGCCCTGACTTTCAAATCTTATTTAATAAGCTTTTAGGAAATGAAAGATACCGGTGGCTCATTTAGCCATGAAGGGAAGCTGCAACAGGAGCCAGGGCCTAGACTTGCCAAATGAAGGTGGCTGGAGGAAAGGGCTATCCGATTCATTCCGCCATGAAGGACTTTTACTTAGGGTCAGGTGACCAAGATTCTCTATGCAGGTCAGAAGACATCAGAAAGCAGGCCGATCTGGATCCAATTCAGCATCTGGCATCATTGACTGCCTCGGCCATGTCACTTAATCCTCCTGAGCCTCAATTCCCTCAATGGTGAGATAAGCTTGTTTATGGGACTACCCACCTCAGTAGGTTGTTGTGATGATTAAATGAAGTGCCATGCTAAAGGGCCTGATACCTACCAGACATACAACACAAACCACCCTCTTTCACCTCTTCTTATTTTCCCTCTGGCTGAACCCCAGTGGTATGGCAAGCTAAGCGTCTCTAAATATCAGGCGCCTCAACTGCAAACTGACAAAGGATAAAGTATGCGAAAGCTTTAAATCGCTATGCAAATGTTAGGAGATATTGTTATTAGTGCCAATCGGTACACCTCACTCGCAACTGCACATCAGGGAATAAGAGTAAAAAGCATCTCTCAGGGAGTTTCTTTCTACCCCACCTGTATACTGCTAACTATAAAGCATAGTTCAGCCCCCTTCAGGGACACTAATATAAAAGTGTCCCTGAGGGGGGATGAACTATGTTTTATAGTTATTTTCTTTTTCATTTTGTGCATTTAATTAATGCTTTTATTTCTGTGCTCATACTCTTGGGTAAAATTTGAGAAAACCAGAATTGGAAATGCTAAAGACAAATATTAGCAACAAGCAACTTGATATTTGCATATCCTTGCAAAGATCCAAAAGGAGCTGAATATGTGGAAAACAGGTAGTAAGATAAAGAAAAACAAGTGTTAAGAACAAAAGTTCTGTGAGTTTCTCTGGGGTGAAACTTGCCTAACAATCTTCAACACCCAGCAAAGTGTCCGGCACATGGAAGGTATTTGATAAACGATATTTACACCATCTGTAGGAACAACGTGACCTCAGTCTACCACTGACCACTAATAAAAAGATAAGCAGAAAACCAAACCTGAAAAATGAATATTACTCTAGCTGATATGTGTTTCTATTGACTAATTTATTGATTTTTAGAATGGCCATGGGTACACTACAGGGGTATATGGTCTTCAACTCCCAACTATGTAAACTCTGAATTCCAACTTTAAATTGTTCAAAATAAACAGACCAAAACAAGGCCTCTATAACCCCCATTACCTGTATTGTTGAGATGATGAGTTTGGGCAGAAACAAAGCCTGGAATGAAACCTCATTCCCGTCCTCCCCAGACACCACATACATCACATGGGTGTCAGAGAATCCTGTGCATCTAATCATTTTCAATTGTCATTTCATCTAGGATGCCAAATGTTAAATAATCAAGACTAAATTTTCTCTCTGTCTCTCTCCATCTTTAGTGCAAGCAGTATATTATGGGTTACCATACTATTCTTAATTTCTAATCATTTTTAGTGTCTTTTCTGCCAATTTGTAGGCTTTTCCTACCTATCCCAGTGTTTCTTCTGGCCTATGCAACACTTGCTTTGCATGTATATTATGCCAGAGAAAGGGAAATTTATATTCACCACAATTTTGTACAAACAAGCAAGGCAAAGTTAAATAAAAATTAGAATTCAGAAGAGAAGCAGCAATTTATACAGGGTTCTTTGGCCCTCTGCCAATCCTAAAAGAACTTTGATAACATCAAACTACAGAGGTCCCAGCACCTATCTGTAAAAAGAGAAATACACAATTCTCAGTACTCAAAAGCATCTTCTGGTTTGCTATGCTAGAAAACAAACCACCCTAAAACTTAGTGGCTTTAAGTAGTAATTTTATTATCTTTCATGGTTCTAGTAGCTTTTACTTTGCAGCTGAAGCTGGAATGATCTGAAGGCTTTTTCACTCACATGTCTGGCACCTTCCTGAGAAGGCTGGCTGACACCTCTCTCCATACAGCCTTTCTGGATGAGTATCTTCAGCTTCCTCACAGCATGGAGGTCTCAGAGTAATCAGCTCCTTGCATGGCAGCTGGTTTCTCAGGATATGAATGAAGGCTGCAGTCTCTTTAAGACTTTGCCTGGGCTGGGCGCATTGGCTCACGCCTGTAATCCCAGCACTTTGGGAGGCGGAGGCGGGCGGATCACAAGGTCAGGAGATCGAGACCATCCTGGCTAACACGGTGAAACCCCGTCTCTACTAAAAATACAAAAAATTGGCCAGGCGTGGTGGCAGGAGCCTGTAGTCCCAGCTACTCGGGAGGCTGAGGCAGGAGAATGGCATGAACCCGGGAGGTGGAGCTTGCAGTGAGTCGAGATCGCGCCACTGCACTCCAGCCTGGGCGACAGAGCAAGACTCCATCTCAAAAAAAAAAAAAAAAAAAAAAAAAGACTTTGCCTGGAAAATTGGTAGAGACTCATTTCTGCCATATTTTATATGTCAAATCAGTCATCAAACCCACTCAGATGCAAGGGGAAGGAGGTATAGACCCCACTTCTCAACAGGAGAATTGAATTGGAAGCCACCATTAATCCACTACACTCAGATTGCCTTGCATGGTCTGCATCACAAACAGGGCTAATGGCAGAATGAGCCCCAGTGGATCAGATTTGTGCACATGTAGATGTCCACTCCTGTAAAACATCAATAATCTTTTTTTTTTTTTTTTTAGAGACAGGGCCTCACGCTGTGTCACCCAGGCTGGAGTGCAGTGGCATGATATAGCTCATTGCAGCCTCGAATGCCTGAGGTCAAGCAATCCTCCCACCTTAGCCTCTCAAGGAGCTGGGACTACAGGCATATACCATCATGCCTGGCTAATTTTTCATTTTTTAATTTTTTTGTAAAGATAAGGTCTTGCTCTGTTGACCAGGCTGGCTGAGAAATCATAATCTTAATGTTGGGAGATTGAAAGTGGTGCTGGTCAACTGTGCTAGTTAATTATTTAGTGTGTTTTCATTTCACTGCTATCTTCCAAGTTTGGGGAATTTATTAGAAAAAATTAAAAAAGAGTTGCCTTTGATCACTGGCAATCATCAAATATATAAATTTATTGCATGTATTTTATAATGTCATCTGGGTAAAAAAAAAAGCTATTAATATTTTCATGGAGGTGCAACAGGTTTAATTCCAAATTTTGGTCACCGAAAGACTTCATGGCTCACCTTTTTATACTGGTCTTCCAAGCGGAAATGAATAGATAATTATGCAGTCCTGGACATACAGATTTAATTCCTGTTGTGAATATTCATTCAGATGAGCAGGAAAACTTCAGGTTATTTTAAATCAGGATGAGAAATCAATACTACTAGTACCAAAGAATATATCTGCATATAAAACTGCTCATTAAAGTCAGGCAAGGAAGACATAGCTCCCGGAAAGCCCCACTTAGAAATTACACCGAAGCTGATCCCCGCCAGCAACTTGTTAATGAATATCTCTGGTGTTCTAGGCCCTAGAAGAACACACAAAGGATGGGGCGAGAAGTTTTCCATTTTAGACGGTGACCAAGCCCTGTAGGAACTGGTTCTGTCTGAATCCTTTCTTTACCCATTCCTGATGACTGCTTGGTGGCTTTTTTGCCTTGGGTGCCTGCTCTTATAGCAGGTCTTCAAGCCTGCTGAGGGGCTTCTTGAGAAACTTCAAACCATCCTACTTGAGTTGTCCTTGCTCTGCAAAGTCCAAAAACAAGGTATGGCCAGTCTAATAACCCTTTCTCTTGGAGAAGAGGCAGTTCGTCCCTGTTCAAGAGAAGGCAGGAATGACAGGCAGACATCAAGTTCTTTCTTGCTTAACCAACATTAGGCAGACAGGGTCCACCCCAGAGCAGCAGTGTGTGATCACTGTTGACAGGTACACAGAGAGGAAGAGGTGAGCAGCAGCAACGTGGAAACTGGGTTAAGAAAACCCCAGGGAAAAAATAGATAGCTAATTAGAGTTTTCAAATTAATGTGCACAAACTGAAATGAATTTTCAAAGATGTTCCTCCTTTCCTTGTGCCAAAATTTAAGTCTTTTTCTGAGGTCCAGAATGTTACAGCCAACAGAACAACTTGGTGATAGAAAGCAATCATTTTTAAAAATCATAAAAGAGATTAATTGAGCCCTTATAATGTGCCAGGTGAGTACTGCGACTATCAGCATTTTACAGATGAGGAAAATGAGACACAAATAACTTTAATAACCTGCCCAAGAGCACTTAGAAAGCAAGAGCTAACACCCAAGTTTATACTCCTAACCACCACACAAAGTATAGAAGAAGGAGCAGGGCTTTTCTGACTAAACAAGACTGATATCTAAGTCTAACTCTGCCAATTACTGTGCTAGATATGTGACTTTAGTTTCTAAACTTTCTGAGCTTCAGTTTCCTTGCCAGCAAAATAGGGATAATACCATCTAATTCTTATAATTGGTTGCTGTGAACTCTCAGAATGTAGGTTTTCAATCAATGGTAACTATTTTTTTGTTATGCAGACCAGAGGGAACACAGCCAAGCTAGCAAAAATGAAACACAAGAATGGGAAGGAAACCTGGAAGCATCAGGAACATGCACACCTCATTTTCTGCCAAGCAGGCAAACTATACCTTGGCGAGAATTTCCTCTCCAGAGCCTCAACTCCTCTTTTTAAACACGGAATGGGCATAATTCTGGGAGATTTTGCATATGCAGTATTCATAACTCAGGGAAACAATGTGCATTTTCCTTTTATTTTTAACTAGAGATACACAAATACATGATAATATCATATGCGCATACATATTTTTACTTACATTCAATCTTTTGCAACTCTAATGGGTCCTTAAATCTGATTCCAAATTAAGTCCTTCAGACACGGCTCTGATTAAATAACTAGCTGGTTTCAGAGCCATCTGAGGATTTTTTATGCTAATAGGATAAAATCCAGTCTCTTTGGCCTACCTTCCTCTACCTTTCACAGTAATTTCCATTCTAATGCTATCACACACACATATCCCACCCCATGCCTCATCAGGAACTCTTCTATAAAGGACAAGGCCTCTCTGCCTGCTTGTCCCTGAACATAAACATCTTGCTCATTCCCACCTCTGCATCTTTGCACTGGCCGGATCCTCTCAGCATCACCCACTGGCTCATTTCCTCCAGTTCAAGTCCTACCAGTCTGTTAAGACCCTGCTAAAGGACCTCCTCTTCCAGCAGACCTCCCATGACCAATTTGGCCCCCATTAATCCATTTTGTTTTTCTACTGAATTCCTACCTGTGCAGACTTTTCAGTTTCATTTCTACATAATTTACTACTATGTAACTTTCCTTAGAGAAAAATCCTCCCTCCTCAAGGATACTATATGCAACTTGAGAGAGCACATGGTTAAGAGTACAGGTTCGCAGTCAGGCAGATCTGAAGTCAAATCCCAGCCTTGCCATATTCTAGCTGTATGACCTGGAGGAAGCTACTTAACTTCTCCAAATCGTAGTTCCTTCTCTGTCAAATGGGATTATAATTGTAGTTATCTCACATTGTTTGAAGGGGGGATTCATGCCTGGTAATATATAAGTGCTCAATAATGTCAGCTATAATTATTATCACTACCCATTTCTCACACGTTTTTAATCCCCCACAGCACCAGCTATCTATTAATAATCTATCTACCTATCCATCTATCCATCCATCCACCCATTTATGTTAGAGACTCGATGAATCTTTACCAATTGCCTAACTTAGACGTACCAATCCTTCTCAAATTTCCACTTCTCCAAGAAGCACAAAGCTGTTTCTACTTTATTAAGCCAGCATCGAAACTCAAGATTCCCCAGATAGGGTCTCACACAGAGCATGCTGATTTCCAGGAGCTTTAAATGGGAATGAAAAGTGATCATTCCCTTAGTTCAGATATGCTGGTTTGAAGAATAGCTGAGTAATTCATGAGGTTCTTTCAGGTGCATTGATCAGATTCTGCTCTTTAAGAAGCATTGTACCTTGAAGTAACTATTTGTCATTCCCCTTCCAAATGAGAGCTAGATAATAGACTGCATCTGTTTAGCAAAACTATAACAAAGGTCTAAATGATAATAATACCTTAGACCTGCTGGATGCATCATAGTTTATAAAGCACGTTCATACACATCCTTCATCGCATGCTTCCAGCAGCCCCAATCAGATAACCAGGGGGTTTATCTCAGTGTGCTAAGTGGGACTGCTCAGGCTGGAGAAGGTTCAAGAGCTTTCCCACAGGCCAGTTCATTGATTCAGATCTTCCAACTCCTACTTCAGTGTTCATTTTATGGCACCACAGGATTTAAAACTATTCGCATATCTTTACAAAGAGATACCCAGCTGGAAAGTGTGTAACCCACTGCTAATTTGTGTTTTGGTTAAAGTATCTATAGTATCACCTTGGAGATATAATGCAAAGCAAATCTGTCAAATGGTATTTAATGCAGTTCTATACTACCTGAGACTAAGTGGAAGACCTCAGTTGAAACTCTGTTTTTAAACTAGCCATTTTCAGTCTTTCGAGCCTGTTTTCCTAGAAGTAGAGTAGGAGTACACAGCATCAGCCTGCTGGGATTCCTTGATACCAGACTCAGCCTCTACTGTACTTGGACAGTCTTCCTTGGTCCAGTTTTCCACCAGTTTTCTACCAGGCTCCCCCTTCCTTACTGCCCTCCAGTTGCCCAACCCGCTGCCTGGCTCTTTCTCAGACATACAGAGTATGTACCATCTCAGTACCTATTCATGGGTGGTTCTCAGTGCATGGCCTGCTCCCTTTCCTTATTCACATTTCTGCACAAATATCACCTCCTCAGAGAGGTCCTCAAACCATCTAATCTTATTAACAACCCCAGACGCACTCTGCAACCACTTTCCCTACTGTTTCATCATAGCACTTAACCACTACTAGACATTTTACAAATGTTTCATCTATTTATAACTGGTCTTCAGCACTGGAATGTAAGATCTAGGAGGGCAGGGCTTTGTATTGCTCACCACTGTATCATCAGCACTTGAAAAGGTGACTGACAATAGGAAGCTCCCAATAAGTACCTATTGCATAAAGGAATGCAGCCTATAAATTTCCCTGTTTAAAATCTCTACCTCTTCCAATTTGAAAAGATTCTTATACATGAAGCCAAAAGAACAAAAACAAATCTCACAACTAAGATAAATGCACAAAAAAAATTAGTGCATGGATGGGACAAAGAACAAGTGTACAGAACCCCTAGGATTGGAACAGCCATGACTCCAACAACTGTTACAATAGTTACATCACTGGACCTAATGCCAATCAGTTGATTAAAAAAAAATTAGCTGGGCACGATGACTCAAGCCTCTAATCCCAGCACTTTGGGATGTAGAGGCGGGCAGATCACCTGAGGTCAGGAGTTTGAAATCAGCCTGGCCAACATGGTGAAACCCTGTCTCTACTAAAAATACAAAAATTAGCCAGGCGTGGTGGCTCATGCCTGTAATCCCAGCTACTCGGGAAGCTGAGGCAGGAGAATCACTTGAACCTGGGAGGCAGAGGTTTAGCTGAGATCACACCACTGCACTCCAGCCTGGGTGACAGAGCGAGACTGTCTCAAAAAAAAAAAAAAAAAAAAAAAAGAAAGAAAAAGAAAGAAAGGAAGAAAAAGAAAAAGAAAGAAAGAAAAAATTAATGACCAACATTCCCCTTCTACCCCCCAGGCAAGAGGTCTCTCGTTGCCTAAGGCAATTTCATCGCATGCCTCAGAGTAAGCAAAAACTGACAGATAAATGTCCTAGGCTATCTTTTTGAGAAGAAGGTCCAAGTTATTTCCTGGATTTTTGCAGATATGACAGTAAATTGGCAACTGAGGGAATAACAACCTGACATCATGTGCCCCTAATCTGATACAATTAGAGCTACTCATCATCAGCCATGAAATGTTCTTGCTAAAAATATGTAATCTGAATGTAATCATGAGGAAATCATCACATATCCGGAATGTAGGGCATTCTACGAGACAACTGGACAGGTCTCTTCAAAAATGTTAGTATCGGGAAGAACAAATAAGATGTAGAGGCTCTACTAGATTAAGAAAAAAAGACTCAGTTGGATCCTGGATTGCAGGGGGAAGCTAGAAAATCGAAAAACTAGAGAAAGCTGAATATGGATGGCATAGTTTACAAAAGCTTCATCAGCTACATCCATTTACTCTACAATATTTAAAGCCAATGTCCAATTTATCACTATTCACCCCTGCAAGTAATCATTAAGCATTTTCCATATATATCATGTCCTTCTCCAATCACATACATCTCATCACAGTAATATCTATATCCTGAATTCAGCAGGGCTTAGCCTCCACAGGGCATCTTTAATACTAATTGGAGGAGACAGGCTTTATAAATCCTTATTTACAAGATGATTATGAAAACTATATTTCCTAGGCCTGTCCTTTACGCTTCTATTATTCTCTCTCTTTCTTTCTCTTGCCAATAAAGTTCTTATTAAATGCTGCTTCAGCCACTAAATTGTAAATTCCCTGGCAGTAGAAATGATACCTGGTTAATCTTTGCATTTCTAAGAAGCAAACAATGGCTTACATAGAGTACATAGCTCATAAATGGGTTGTTGAATTTTCGAAATTACTGTACTTTAATTTAGACCACATAATGACTATTTATTTGCTTCAATTTTTAAATGACCCTGAATGTCTCTGTGCTACAAAATGTACTGAGGCACTGTACATCTTTCAGATTTTGGAACTTGCATTCAGTTGCCAATAATTTTATATATTTCATGAAATGTTTAACAATAAAACTACTCTTTGCATCTCAAAATATGTTTTGAAGAAATTATGAAATCAAGATGTTCTTTCAATGTATAAAATATTCAATAAGTGACTCAATAAATTAGTAGCATATCTTATTTGAAACTGAGATGCCATTAAGAGCATTTAGTAAGCTGTTTTGAATACTCTTATCTATCTCTGCTAACAAAGGCTTGTTTCACCAAGTAACTTGGGAAGTCATCCCAGTATCATGATTTATACACCTCTCCCCATTCATACTAAATGCATCTTCACTAACCCTCTTCAATGAGAACTTTTATAGTTACTTATTTCTTTAGAACTTATTGAATTGATTCTCGTATTGTGAAAGGTATTATAACTTATAGTTATAAAAAAAAGTTAAAAATCATTTAACTTTTGACTTCTCATCTCATGCCTAGCTTTTTAAATTTCCATTTCTATTTGTGAATCTTGACATCTGTAAGCCTCCTGGATCATCAGGCTCTGAGACAGTCACATTCTACTTTGCTGAAATCAGATTGCTCACTGAACTTCAATAAGTATGTTTCTTTAATACTTACTAGCACCCTTTTGTGACAATCCCCAAGCCCACCACCTCACTGGGACTTCACCCCTTCCTATAATCAAAGGGCTTTGAAAGACAAGCTTTCTCTAAGGCTGCATGGCATTTCCCAAAGAATTACCATGACCTAGTTTTGAACTCCAGATAGACTTCAGCCAGTGGGAAACAATATACGAAGCATCTTTATTTCAGCAACTGAGCCTCATTCCGAAGAACTGCTCCCTCTCTGAGAGGTTACCCCAGTGGAAAATACTGCCTGAGAGAAAAAGAGATTACATGTGTGGTCTGGGTCCAGCCATGACCCAGCTGTACAATCCTGGGAAGTGAGTCAGTCTCTGAACTTTGATTTCCTCATCTTTAAAATTAAACAGTGAGACTAGGTCACCTCTCACTTGCCTTCCAGTTCTAAGATTCTATAATTCCATCGAGTGTTCCTATGTGGAGCAGAAAGGGGAAACATAATTATCAAATTTCAAAAATACGGCATAAACCCTTTGGTAATTCTTCTGTATTCTGCTACCTCTACGTATTTTGAGTACCCTGGCAACTTCCATAAGGACTTACAAAACCTTAGAGACTAAAACGTGGGCCAAACCGTATGACCCAGCAATTCTACTCCTGAGAAATGAAAATGTATGTACACATAAAAAGTTGTACACAGATGTTCATAGCAGCATTATTCATAATAGCCCAAAGGTAGAAACAACCCAAATGTCCATCAACTGATGAATAGATAAACAACATTTACAGTCTCCACACAGTGAAATATTATTTGGTCATTAAAAGGAGTGAAATACTCATACATGCTACTACAAGGATGAACCTTGAAAACAATCTAAATGAAAAAAGTCAGTCACAAGATTATATGATTTCACTTGTATGAAATTTCCAGAACAGAGAAATCTACAGGGACAGAAAGTAGATTAGTGGTTGCTTTAGGGTGGCGTAGGGAGAATGAGGGGATGGGAGATCATAGCCAAATGTCCATCAGTTGATGAATAGATAAACAAGATTGGTATATCCATACAATGGTATATTATTCAGCCATAAAAAATAATAAACTACTAATACCTGGTAGGTATTAGTCTGCTAGAGTTACCATAACAAAATACCACAGACTGGGTGGCTTAAACTACAGAACTTTACTGTCTTACAGTAATCTCAGATCGTGGTCCAGCTAGAAATCCCAGATTGAGGTCCAGCAGGGTCAGTTTCTGGTGAGGGTTCTCTTTCTGGCTTGCAAATGGTCACCTTTCCACTGTGTCCCCATATGGCAGAGAGAGAGCAAGCTCTTTGGTGTCTCTTCTTATAAGTATATTAATCCTACCAGATTAGGGCCCAAGCTTTTGATTCTATTTAACCATTATCACTTCTTCAAAGGGCCCGTCTCCAAATACAGTCACACTGAAGGTTAGGGCTTCAACATATGAATTTACAGGGGATACAAACATTCATTTTATAACATGTAACAACGTGGACAAAACCTGAAAACATTATGGTATGTGAAAGAAGCCAGTCACAAAGCACCACATATTGTATAAATCTACTTAGAGTAAATGTCCATAATGGGAAAATCCGTAAAGACAGAAAGTAGATTAGTGATTGTTTAGGGCTGGGATGGGGATAGAGTTGAAGGAAATGTGGAATGATGTTTCTTTTGGAGGTGACAAAAATGTTCTAAAATTGACTGTACTGATGGTTGCACAGCTCTGTGAATATACAAAAATCCATTGAATTGAATACTTCAAATGGGTGAATTGTATTCTCCATCACAAGAAAACTGTTTAAAAAATAATAAACAAATAGACAAGGCTCAAGATGATTGCCTAAGGATGAAAAAACAAAGAGCTTTTGAAGGAAGTCCTGGGCTCAGATCCCAGTGCTCCCACTCATTAGCTGTGTAACCTTGGGCCAGTCTCTGAACCTCCAGTTCCTTTACTCTGTGACGTGGGGAGAGCATGGCAATTGTTCTCAGTTGGTGTGAAAATGAAACGAGGTAATGCACAGTGCCCGACAAGTATCCTAAGCACTTAATAACTAATGGTCATTGTTGAATATTATTAGCATTTCATCAGAAGAATAGCCCATCTGTTTTTTGAACTGAATTGATTTCAAAGCTCAGGCACTGAATTTGACCACAAGTTTTTAGTGGCTACTGCAGAAGTGGAAGCACTCATTTTTCAATATCCAACAACAGAGTCAGTGCCACTTACCTATAAGCTTGCTGTTCTATGAACATGTTTGTGACTCGAGAAGAGGCATGTCACTAAAACCAAGATGGCTTTTTAGCATCTTTAGTCAAGGGAGATACCAGTGTCCAAGTGATCAAACTATTTCATGCCCGGAGCTGACAGTCAATATTTGCTGACTGATCGACTTAGCCATGCCTGACTTATGAGGGTTTTTATTTCAACCGATGTTTCATTAAGTGTTGGTAAGACAGGCCCAACTGTCCCTGGGCCTCTGGAGCCTTTTGGGATATGCAGAAGAAACAGAGTTGGTCCCTGCCTATAGGAGTTTGTATTCAAGCATCTAGTCCTAAACTGATTTTTAAGTTTATGTTTACTTTAATGTTACCACTATTCCAACTCTCCATGTGAATAAACAATAAAACTGCTCAGTACATGAAGGCAAGCAGTAAAAAGGAGTTTTTTTACACTCAAGGTAGGCCCACCTCTCCAGCACTTCTGAGGCCCAGTTCCAATCCAAAACCAGTGGAAAGAACTCTGGGCCAAATGCTGAGGACATGAGAGTTCTATTCCCAGCTATACCACAGAATAGCTATGAGTGCAAGACTCCTCCTTTATCTGTAGAGAATATGTGGATGCCTGAAACCAAGAATACTACTGAACCCTATATACACAATTTTTTTCCTATACTACATACCTATGGTAAAGTTTAACTTATAAATTAAGCACAATGTGAGATTAGTAGCAATAACTAATAATAAAATAGAACAATTATAACAATCTGCCAGCATCACTACTCTTGCACTTTGGGGCCATTATTAAATAAAATAAGGGTTACTCGAACGCAAGCACTGCAAGACTGCAACAGTCAATCTGGTCTGACAACCAAGAGAGCTACTAAGTAGACTAAAGGGAGGGCAGCATCTATTGTGTGGATACACTAGACAAGGGCCTGATTCACGTCCTGGGCAGACAGAGTGGGACAGCTTGAGATTTCATCATGCTACTCAGAACGATGGACAATTTAAAACTTATGAACTGTTTATTTATGGAATTTTCCATTTAATATTTTCAGATCGTGGTTGACTGTGAGTAACTGAAACTGTGGAAAATGAACCCACAGATAAGGGGGACTACAGTACAAATCCTACCCTTTTGTACTGCTTCCATCACTAAGATATGAAAGACCAGGTTAGACAGTAAACTAAGTCTCTCTATCACCTAGACCAAAAAATGCATATTAGTTCTACATAAACTAAGTGCCTTTGATAGTTCTAGTTCTCACTGTAATTTAATAAACTGGCACAATGTTCTAAACAAGATGTAGAAACTGCCTTCCACTCCCTGCAGACACACACACACATGCACATACCCCAGAAAATACAAAGTGAGGTCCCTGAGCCTGACTGGCAGAACTGACCCATTGTGATAAATTCACCCATCTGAAATGAGTCCTCTTGGGAAAGAGTCTACCAGCTTATCCTCTAGAATTCACGCCCCTCTTTCCATAGCCCCTTCATGGGCCTGTGTATAAGGGAGCTGTGATCCAACTTGGATACATACTTTCCTTCTGAAGTCATGGTACCACCAGCCCTTTTGGGTGTGGGTGCCTGTGGTTGTACACTGTAGTTCTCAGCTATTTAAAAATATATATTCCTGAAATTTGTTCATTCTCACCTCCAGCTGTACTCCAACCATAAGATAACATATGAAGATGCTAACCTCGGAGCCAGGCTGGTTTGCTGGATAAAAAGCAGAGACATTGAATAAGAAGACCTAGCTCTGCTCCTGATTAGTTGTGTAATTTTTTTTTTTTTTTTTTTTTTTTTGAGATGAAGTCTGGCTCTGTCACCCAGGCTGGACTACAATGGCGCAATCTCAGCTCACTGCAACCTCCGCCTCCTAGGTTCAAGCAATTATCCTGCCTCAGCCTCCCGAGTAGCTGGGACTACAGGTGCGTGACATCAAGCCTGGATAATTTTTGTATTTTTAGTAGAGACGGGGTTTCACCATGTTGGCCAGGCTGGTCTCAAACTCCTGGCCTCGTGATCTGCCCGCCTTGGCCTCCCAAATTGCTGAGATTACAGGTGTGACCTACCACGCCCGACCAGTTGTGTAAATGAGACTTAACTTTTCTGTGCTTTGTCTGTAAATAAAGACAACAAATAATATTATTGTGACACTGAATTAAATAACATGATTAATACAGAAGGAACTAGCAATGTGTCCACCAATTACAGAACATCCTGTAAAGTCAGTTTGACTAAACCATTGGATAGATCCTTTCTCAGGAAAGATTAAGTCTCAGGAAACATTAATTTTAATGCACTCTCTGGAAATGTTAAGTAAAATATAATATATATTAATAAAGTAGTAAAAGACATACATAAATAAAATATAAACTCCCTTACACATACTTACACACACCACATGTTTATACATATGAATTCAAACCAAACACACTGTTTACAAATGGCCATTTATTTCTGGGAATTAGTAAGTCCAACTGTAAACATAAAGACAATATTTATATGGTCAAGAAAACCAATTCACTAGCTTCAGTTTTAACTCAATTTATTAATTTTATTTTTTAAACTCTACTTTCTCAAAATGCCTTTTTTGTTTTGTTAATGTATTTTTTAAATATTATCAAAATGGAAAAAATAAACTTACTTTTGGAAATCATGCATTCAGCAAATACCTACTATGTACTGGAAACTGTGCTATGCACTGAGATACAAAGATGAATACCATGGGACCCTAAGTTAGCCTTGACCCTTGAAGAGCTCATAGTCCAATAAAACTGTGTTAAAAACAAATTTTTCAATCAACCAAACATTCTCTTCATTGATACAAAGGAGTTCTCATTAGTGAGTTCTCATTAGTGCTCTAACACTTCCTAGCCCGGTGGCTTTGAACAATGGATATCTTCAGAACCCTGGGATCTTCATCTGCACAAATGAAAAAGCTGAACTATGCAGCCTGTTGCATCCCTTCTCCAGTGAAAATATGTGATTCTAATTGCCATTTTAAGCCCAGGTTGAACTTTCCCTTTTTTTAACTACCTTCCATGGCTAAAATTACAGGTATTTTAGACAATGTGCAAATGAGTCAATACGTGACATTGTGTCAACATGTGCATAGGTATTTATTGCATAGCTATATAAATCTGGGCACCAAAATCTCCTTAAGCTGATAAGCAACTTCAGCAAAGTCTCAGGGTACAAAATCAATGTGCAAAATCACAAGCATTCTTATACACCAATAACGGACAAACAGAGAGCCAAATCATGAGTGAACTCCCATTCACAATTGCTTCAAAGAGAATAAAATACCTAGGAATCCAACTTACAAGGGATGTGAAGGACCTCTTCAAGGAGAACTACAAACCACTGCTCAATGAAATAAAAGAGGATACAAACAAATGGAAGAACATTTCATGCTCATGGGTAGGAAGAATCAATATCGTGAAAATGGCCATACTGCCCAAGGTAATTTATAGATTCAATGCCATCCCCATCAAGCTACCAATGACTTTCTTCACAGAATTGGAAAAAACTACTTTAAAGTTCACATGGAACCAAAAAAGAGCCCGCATTGCCAAGTCAACCCTAAGCCAAAAGAACAAAGCTGGAGGCATCACACTACCTGACTTCAAACTATACTATAAGGCTACAGTAACCAAAACAGCATGGTACTGGTACCGAAACAGAGATACAGACCAATGGAACAGAACAGAGCCCTCAGAAATAATGCCACATATCTATGACTATCTGATCTTTGACAAACCTGACAAAAACAAGAAATGGGGAAAGGATTCCCTATTTAATAAATGGCGCTGGGAAAACTGGCTAACCATATGTAGAAAGCTGAAACTGGACCCCTTCCTTACACCTTATACAAAAATTAATTCAAGATGGATTAAAGACTTAAATGTTAGACCGAAAACCATAAAAACCCTAGAATAAAACCTAGGCAATACCATTCAGGACATAGGCATGGACAAGGACTTCATGTCTAAAACACCCAAAGCAATGGCAACAAAAGCCAAAATTGACAAATGGGATCTAATTAAACTAAAGAGCTTCTGCACAGCAAAAGAAACTACCATCAGAGTGAACAGGCAACCTATAGAATGGGAGAAAATTTTTGCAATCTACTCATCTGACAAAGGGCTAATATCCAGAATCTATAATGAACTCAAACAAATTTACAAGAAAAAACAAACAACCCCATCAACAAGTGGGTGAAGGATATGAACAGAAACTTCTCAAAAGAAGACATTTATGCAGCCAAAAGACACATGAAAAAATGCTCATCATCACTTGCCATCAGAGAAATGCAAATCAAAACCAAAATGAGATACCATCTGACACCAGTTAGAAAGGCGATCATTAAAAAGTCAGGAAACAACAGGTGCTGGAGAGGATGTGGAGAAATAGGAACACTTTTACACTGTTGGTGGGACTATAAACTAGTTCAACCATGGTGGAAGTCGGTGTGGCAATTCCTCAGGGATCTAGAACTAGAAATACCATTTGACCCAGCCATCCCATTACTGGGTATATACCCAAAGGAGTATAAAACATGCTGTTATAAAGACACATGCACACGGATGTTTATTGCGGCACTATTCACAATAGCAAAGGCTTGGAATGAACCCAAATGTCCAACAGTGATAGACTGGATTGAGAAAATGTTGCACATATACACCATGGAATACAATGCAGCCATAAAAAATGATGAGTTCATGTCCTTTGTAGGAACATGGATGAAGCTGGAAACCATCATTCTCAGCAAACTATCGCAAGGACAAAAAACCAAACACCGCATGTTATCACTCATAGGTGGGAATTGAACAATGAGAACACATGGACACAGGAAGGGGAACATCACACACTGGGGACTGTTGTGGGGTGGGGGGAGGGGGGAGGGATAGCATTAGGAGATACACCTAATGTTAAATGACAAGTTAATGGGTGCAGCACACCAACATGGCACATGTATATATATGTAACAAACCTGCACGTTGTGCACATGTACCCTAAAACTTAAAGCATAATAAAAAAAAAAAACTGGGCACATGTTACTAAATAGAGGGAATGACTACAATCACCCAAATCATTTAAAACCGAACTCTTTACATTAAAATTCTGAGTTCGCATAAACTGGTATGTTGCATTTATATGCACTCCCATTCAATTTATGCATGATTAATTTGCGTGTTTTGGAGCAAAGAAATGAAATTAATACTTGTTTTTAATATACATGTCCAAATATCAAAAGCCACAATTTAAGCCAGCTGCCAAATACTGAAAGACTGGTGTACAAACTAACAATTCTTCTCAGCTAAACATTAGTAATGTTATAAATAGTAACATTAGTTCACAGCAACACAAATGCCAACTTTTTAACACCCCTATGGCTAAATATACAGAAAAGTATACATAATTAGATAGACTATCTACAGATTTATTTACCATGCTATATTTATTACCCATTCCTGCAGAGTATTTACGTTTAACTCTGTGAAGCAAATATCCCCACAATAATTTTTTCCTCCACATTTTAAAAATATTTTACTATGAACAATGTGGATTCTATTTGTCCAAAAAAAGGGAAGAGCTGGGCATGGTGGCTCACGCCTGTAATCCCAGCACTTTGGGAGGCTGAGGAGGGTGGATCACTTGAGGTCAGGGGTTCAAAACCAGCCTGGCCAACATGGTGAAACCCTGTTCCTACTAAAAATACAGAAAAGTTAGCCAGGCATGGTGGCAGACACCTGTAATTCCAGCTATTCGGGAGACTGAGGCAGGAGAATCCCTTGAACCCGGGAAGTAGAAATTGCAGTGAGGGGAGATCACGCCACTGTACTACAGCCTGGGTGACAGAGTGAGACTCTGTCAAAAAAAAAAAAAAAAAGGAAGAAATGACAGCACCATGCATGTAAAAATGCATTCTTTTTAAACATCAAAATAATCTTGGACAGCGCTGGAGAGCATGTGGAGAAATAGGAACACTTTTACACTGTTGGTGGGACTGTAAACTAGTTCAACCATTGTGGACGTCAGTGTGGCGATTTCTCAGGGACCTAGAATGAGAAATACCGTTTGACCCAGCCATCCCATTACTGGGTATATACCCAAAGGAATATAAATCATGCTGCTATAAAGACACATGCACACATATGTTTACTGCAGCACTACTCACAATAGCAAAGACTTGGAACCAACCCAAATGTCCAACAATGATAGACTGGATTAAGAAAATGTGGCACATATACACCATGGAATACAATGCAGCCATAAAAAATGATGAGTTCATGTCCTTTGCAGGGACATGGATGAAGCTGGACACCATCATTCTCAGCAAACTATCGCAAGGACAAAAAACCAAACACCGCATGTTCTCACTCATAGGTGGGAATTGAACAATGAGAACACTCGGACACAGGAAGGGGAACATCACACACTGGGGCCTGTTGTGGGGTGGGGGGAGGGGGGAGGGATAGCATTAGGAGATATACCTAATGTAAATGACGAGTTAATGGGTGCAGCACACCAACATGGCACATGTATACATATGTAACAAACCTGCACGTTGTGCACATGTACCCTAGAACTTAAAGTATAATAAATATATATATATAAAATCATCTTGGAATGTATACAAAATTATTTTAAACAGGAATGAGTTTTATTCAGGTCTACCTTGCTTCAACCTCCCTCCTTTTTGAACTGGAGCCCCATCCTCTCCAGAGTCTCCAGGGCTTCTCCACTCCTGGGCACCTGTCCTTTAGCCCCTTCTCACCACACTCTGCCACTGTCAACCCGTCTTTACTTTCCCGGTAAGGCCACAGTCTCCTGAAGTCCAGCCTTAGGCAAAGGTGACAGAGGAAAGGAGAGGTTAAGGTCGCTGGAGTTGGAGAGGTCAATGAAGAGCGAGATTCAGGTGTTGAATGGCTGCCTACCTGGACAAATACCACTAAAAAATGATCATAAACAAACCAATGAGCAAATGGAAAACAGATGTAAGATCGTCCAAGATAAGTGGAAGTGCCCAGGGTCTTGGTAGATCACAGACGAAAGGGATACAGAATGATAAAGCATAAAATTTGGGAGCTGGATTAATTGATCACAAAGACACCATCTATTGCTAACATCCTTTTGTTAGTTGATGTATTATTCTAGCTGGGCCGTAAACACATCTCAGGAATCCCACTGTTAATCTATATCTTCATCAGACTGCCCAGATAGGTCTACTTCATACCTTTCCTGCCCTCCTGAAATCCCCAGTCAGCTCCTCTCCATCTCAGCAGAAAAGCTGGCTTCCTTCTTTACTAAGAAAAATCAAGGTCATCAGAAAAAAGATTTCCTCGCACATTCTCCTTTCCATCTCAGCTCTTATGTTTCTTCTCTTCCTTTCTTCCTATTTGAGAAAAATCCTTCCTAACTTCTAAGATTAAATCCTCTGCCTTTGATCCCCTTTTCTTAGGCATATTAGATTGCCTCTGTAATCTACTAGCTTATACGCTTATTAACCATGTGCCCAATGCTCAGTTTCCTCAGCTGTAAAATGGAGTATAATGCCCACCGTGCAAGGCAGTTATAAGATTTAAATACAACAACATATTAAAGCACCTGCCACAGAGCAGGGTGCATAACAAAAGTGCTATTATTATTACCCTCTAAGCCTTGTCTCCCTCAATGGCTATGCCTGCTTTCTCTCGCATTAGTTAAAAATTCACTTAGTGCTACCTTTCTAAAAGGCGTTTTAGCCACTGGTACTATAACAACGAACAAAATCAAGGGAAAGATGGCTCACCCTTGTGAAGTTTACAGCCTAGTGGGCAGGGACAGGAATAAAATACTTAAGTCAGGTGATAAGCGCCATGGAGTTACAACTTATAAAAGAGTGTCCTGGGAGGTCTCACTTAAAAGATGACATGTGAACAAAGACCCAAAAGAGGAGAAAGACCAAGCAGGTATTTGGAGAAGAGCACTCCTACGTGAGAGGACGCTGCAGTCTCCTGGAGGGCTTGAGCTTGAGGAATGAGGAGGGTGTGTGTTTGGTGCTGGGGGCTGGGGGAGCAGGTCAGGTTTGGCAGGGCCTTGTAGGTTACTGCAAGGAATTCAATACTTACTCTAGTGAATAATAAAAGAGAGGGGGACCCTGGTGGATTTTGTGCAGTGGCATTATCCAACTTAAGCTTTATTAGGATCACTTTAGACACTGGATGAGAACAGACTCAAGGTCAAGGAAGGAGAAGGGAGATGAGTTCGGAGACTTTCAATAATTCAGGAGAAAGTTGATAGTTGCATAGATGTGAGAAGTAGTTGGATTATGGCTATATTTTTCAAGAAGATAAAATACCAAAAAGGTTTTCTGATGGATCTAATGATCAGTGCAGAGAAAGAGAGGAGTCAAAGTTACTCCCAAGGACTAGGCCCCCAGAAACCAGAAAAATGGAGCAGCTCTGTATTGAGATAAGCAAGACTGCAGGGTCATAGCTTTATCTCTCCCCCACCACTGCTTCCTGCCCCCTGTGGTCAACCGACCAAAGGTCTTCCTCACTTTAAGAAAAGAAAGCATGTTAGCTTTCTGCTGTCCTAATCTCTCTTAATGCTCGACACTAAATTTCTTGAACAATTGCTCTGAATCCAGGGTCTTCACTTTCTCAAGGGCTCCGCCCCCACCCCCACCCCATTCCACTACAGATAACTCTGCTTCCAAAGAGCACTCCCGCAGGGCAACCAGCATACTCTAGTCATCCAGGCCAGTAGCTGCAATTCTGTGCTGCAGCATTTGGCACTGCCCATTATTACCTCCTTCCTCAAATTCTCTCCATGGTGGGAGATCTAACATCCTGATTTACATGTGATGGCTGTGATCATTCCTTCCATAGCCTCCTCTTTCTCTTTCATTGTCTCCTCCTTTTTCTTCTCTTCTCTCAAACACAGCATCCTCTGAATTCTGTCCCTTGTCCCCCTGAAGCTACACTGCCAAGACCTTACACTCATAGTCTTTATGACTGTTTATAGGGTCTCTAGCACCCAGTTCAGTGACTGAGACATTGTTAATTGAACAAATGAATGAATTTATCATTCCATCAAGTACTGTATTCCTATATTTAGTTTCCACCTGTCTCCCAAGCTCCAGCTTTAGATCCACAACCACGAGCTACACATTCCAGTTAGAAGTCATCCTGCCCTACGAAGTTCACCAAGCCAAAACCAAACACTCCATCTTAACCATCCCTCCACAAAGCAAGCTGCGTTATTTTAACTGCCCTACTTATTTTAAGGGTATCATGATCCCCAAATAAGAACTTTCACCTCTTCAAGCCTAGGATATCTACTAGAGTCTCCCTCTGCCCTCTACAATTCATTCTACAATGCCACCAGCTTAATTTTCTAAAACACTATTGTGCCCATGTCACTCATCTAATAAATAATATTTATTGGCTCCACATAACCTTCAGAAGTTAAGAGAGAAGAAGGGAGAGAGAGCAAAAGAATACTAGCTAGGGCCTGATTTTGGCTATTTCTATTTTCCTTTTAAATATGTTTTCTACTAGGTACATTTTCCCCTTTGAAATTCTTAGATTACCCCACCTCCAGTTCCTTGCCTAGGCAAAGTACAGTACAACTCTTCAACCAGATATTAAACATCTTCAAAAATCCAGCCCCTATTAGCCTGTTCAATCTTATTCCCTAATACAGCAAGAATCACTTCTTCCTTTCAGATGGTCTTGCCATCCCTCAAACAAGCATTTTACATTCTTACCTCCATATCACTGCTTACACAATTCCCTCTCTGGTTGTTCTCTCCTCCATCCCCTCTTCTCTACTCTATGTTAATTGCCCATCAAGGTCTTGCTGGAATCCTACCTCGCCCCAGAAGCCTTTCACATACATTCTAACCAAGAGTGGTTTGCAGCATTCCTCCCCCGAACACCCTGCAATTTGCTGTCCTTACCACTCCTGTGTGGCTCATCACAGTGATTCTAAAAATGTGATCCTGAAAGCAGCAGCAGCAGCAGCATCATTTTGTTAAAATGCAAATTTTGGGGACCCATCCCAGACCTACTGATTCAGAATCTCTAGAGGTAGATAGAGCCCACCTCCCTGTAATTTCACAAGCTCCCCAGGTAAGGCTATGCACGCTAAAGTTTAAAAACTAGTGACATGAAATACCGCCTTACGTTGTTTGATCTTGTCAACTAAATAATATGCAAAACACCAAATACGGTATTTAGCATATAGCTATCCCTCAAGAAACTTGAGTTTTGCAATACTGTTTCAAGTAGTTTCATCGCAATATACATCAAGTGAATTTTACCTCTACACCTAATTTTAAAAAACAAAAGTAAAAACAAAATGCCTTTACGCTAAACAATGAAAATACTTTGTTTTTTAACGTGAACCAAGAAAATAAGCCCTGTCATAGTGGCTCATCCCTGTAATCCCAACAGTTTGGGAGGCTGAGGTGGGAGGATCCTTTGAGGCCAGGAGTTTGAGACCAACCTGGGCAACATAGGGAGGGTCTGTCTCTCAAAAAATAAAACAATTAGCCCGGAGTGGTGGTGTGGACTTGCAGTCCCAGCTACTTAGAAGGCTGAGGTGGGAGGATTGCTTGATCCCAGGAATTTGAGGTTGCAGTGAACTAAGATTGTGCCACTGCATTCAGCCCTGGCCCAGAGTGACACCTTGTCTCAAAAAACAGACAAAAAAAAAAAAAAAGAAATGAAATTAATATTGTTTTAATCAAGAGCTTGTTTAAAATCATTTAATTTAATATTAAATGAATAACAAAAATAAATGTTTTTATTTAGTAATAAATCATTTAATATTAAATAGCTTAATCTTATTAATTGGATGAGAATCTTCTTTTACATTTCCTTTACATTTCAACTTTGGAAATATAGTTGAGTTTTCAGATTACACCTTCATGGTGAATACAGGAGAAGATAGCTAAATAAAAATTCCTGCCAAGAGAAGAGTAGACCTTAATTTTAATCAATTTGCATGTTGCAGAAGATAAAAAGTAGAGCCACACCAAGCTGAACCAGATTTAACATTATGCTTTGAAGAAACCCAGTAATAATGAATTACGCACTTATTTCATAGGTCCGTCCTGCTTGTTTTGGCTCTTTAGAAACCTATATTTCAGAAAGGTTAAATTAATTAAGCAAAGAATCTTCTTTTGTAAGAACTTTCTTACAAAAGAAGAGCCCAAAATGAAAATGTTGTCTCCTACATAAAAAGGAAAATAATGATTAACATAAAAAGGTCTTGGAATAGTATAATATGCTCCATTTATCCCCCATATCAACAAACTTTTTCTTCATGTCTATTGCAAACAGAATACAGTGGTAGCTGCTATGATAGATCTTGACGTATTTTTATATATTTAGCGTCTTTAGAGTTTTATTGCCAAAATGTCCAGGGTTCCATACAAGTACATTCTTTTTAATATAATTTTCTAATAAACAGAAATACTGGAGAGAAATATGCCAAAATATTATCAGGGATTCCTCTGATAATTCCTCTGAGTGAAGATTTTACATGTTCTTTTTACTCTCTATTTACTGTTCTTGTAATATTCAATTTTTTTAATGAGCCTACATTAAGTTTTAAAATCTAAAAATAATTTTAGGACCATATTTTTGTTTTATGCATGCATTAGTACAGTAACTTACTTCTCCACTTAGGAGGATACTGCTTTTGCGTCTTTTTTTTCATATATCAGTTTGTTTAATCCACACAACAACCCTATGAAATTGGTAAAATCATTATTCCCATTTTACAGATAGGAAAACTGAGTCACAGAGAAATTTAGTACATTCTACACAGAATTCAAACACATGAAGATTAACATTAGAGTTTGCTCAAGTCACCCACCAAAAGGCTGCCACCCAGGCTGGCAACTTACATCCTGCCTTTTGGCAAATCCCAAGACTAGTTAATTACCTCTTTTTGAGAATGCATACACAGAAACACAACAATAAGCCTGTGTGACACTGGGAAATGATTGATTTTCCTTATTTTGTATTGTATCTTGACAACTCAGAAGAAAACATGCAAAACGTAATATATAAAAATTTTAGTATGCATTTTTAATAGTGTTTCCAAACCAAAAGAACTCTAAGAGAAGATGGCCTCCTTAAGACAAGAGGCAATAGCCAAAAGAGAAGAAAAGATTGAAATGAGGACACAAATGAAAAGAAAGAATACAAGGAAGCCTAAGATGCAAGAGGAAAGCTGGAGGCAATACAGAACACAATCGACTTGTGGAAAATAATACCTATGCTGTGAAAGACAAACATGATCACAACCAGATGCAATTTCAAAAGACGGATACAAAAATAAATAAGGAAAAGGTGATAGAGAGGGAACATACAGCACAGAGATCCAAACTAAGTAGGAAGAAATTCAATAGTAAGGAACAGAACCAAAAATAAAAATAGTAAAGATAAATATTCACATGTGGACAAAAACCTGCTCCCAGGAGCAAAACTACAGTGAGTACTAAGCAAAATAACTGAAAACAAACCCTATATCTATGCCTAAAAAAGTAATTTCCATTATTTTCCCAAACTCATAGCACTAACCAGACGGAAAATCAGGTTAACTACAAAGTAATAGATATCAAATTAGCCCTAAGCCTCTCTTTCACAATATTAAACACCATTAGCCTATGAACCATCTAAGTTTGGTAGCAAAAGTTTATGATAAAATCCTTGTATTCCCTGACAAATTATTGTTCATTTAAAAAAGGCAAAAGAAACATTTTAAGCAATGTGAAGCCTCATAAAACACTGCACGTGTATAACATTCTCATAAAAATCTATTCCAAGTATACATTCCAGCTAAGTGAATAAAAACTCAAAATAAAGAACTCAATATAATAGAGCAGGAAATGCC